>NC_000008.11:14102526-14405557 GCF_000001405.40 Homo sapiens
AGGAAAAAAAAACACAAAAAAATCATTAATAGAAAAAAGAAAATTTTTGATAAACTAGAAGACAACATTGGTCAAAACAACAACCAGACAGACAGGCATAAAGGAAAAGTCCTACCATTTTAGGCAAAGCCAGAATGAGTTTCAGAACAATTTTTGATTGACGTATCTATTTTTGGCTCTTTATAAAAATCTACATTTATTCACATCGAGTATTTACTCTCACTTTCATGACAATTTGCTTATGGTTTCTTTTGTTGTTTCCCCTCAGAATGCTCATGAAAAGTAGGGTGTGATAAGTATACTTGCTAAAATTTTTAATAACTTACCAGTATATAACTTACTAGTATTAATGATGGAGGTTTAATAAAAAATTTACAGTTTAGGATGTAGATATATGTATTCCTCAATAAAGAGTCCCTGTCTTGTAAACATGAATGCTTTAATGAAAATTGTTAATATTGCACACTTTCAGGCATGTGCAAAATATTATGAACTTGACACCTCTAGAAACTGATTAAAATAATGAAATAAGACATTTTCTACATCAACTAATTCTGTTGGCCCCGTGAAATGTCCACAGAATGAGTGACATCAGTCTGTGAAAGAAAAATCAATAGGAGGGTAATATACAAGTACAAATGCGATTGAAGGTTGGCTACATAAATTAGGAGGGCAAGAAACAAGTGTTTTAGACAGTCAGAGTTGGGAGGCAGTTTTCAAACTATCTTCAAATATAACACTAGAGAAAAAGCAAAAATGACACACAACACAGGAACTAGAATACAGTGGTAAAAAGTGCTAGGATGAGAAGAGGTAGGATCCATGCACTGGTCTTTTTAGATCAGCTTTCTGCCTTGGGGATGCACCTGCCTGTGATCGCCCTACCACAGGACTTTAAGAGGAGGGTCCCCTCGGGCTCACATTCACTGTTATCCAGCACAACTGGTTTTGTTTTTGTTTTCTGAGGCAATGAATTCAGAGTTGTTTTGCAGAAAGAACCACCTCAAATGGTTAGGTCTCTGGAGTTCAGCTCCCTCTCAGCAAGAAAGTGAAACCTAAAAGCTTAAAAGTGATATGGAAGGAGTAGAGCCAGCATTGAGAAGTGGTTTCAACACTTCCATTTTCTTTTTTTTTCACTCACCAAAGCAACTTAAAAATTTTAATCCCTATGGGCCATTTGGAGATCTAGCTTCATATAATCCCTGGAGGGGTGAGGTTTTGAATGTGTCTATTTTTAAGAAACGTCTGTATTTTTTTTATTAAAACTCCCCATATTTTCCATAGAATATTTGAAAACTTGAAGACAATCACTCACAATCCTACTGCTTAATAAAATTTACTATTAGCATTTTACGCACAGTATCTAAATGTCAAAATTTGAATGTTAAAATGTATTTTTTATCACTGATTTTCCCTGATACACAACCCTTCTAGAACTACGCAGACTCTTAGCAACACAGTATCAACAATTAAATGTTGTCCCACTTCTCTCTTGTATGGAAAGTCTCCTGTCCACTGAGGAGGGTTTCACAGACTTACTTACATTATAGTAGAGGTTTTCAATTAAACTATTCATGTTATTATAAAATATCGTCTAAAAAGCCTGTTGAAAAAGGAAACCCAAGTTTATTGGTACTACTTGTGGATTTCTATGTAATTAGTCAGTGAAATTAGTGAATTATAATTGTATTCATTTTTATAATTGTATTCATTTGGAAAGCACTACAGCAAATATAGCAGTAAGTTTCAGACTGGCTTTCACAGTGGGTACCTGGGATTATGGCAGAGAGAAGGATAGTCCCTCTACCACCTGGTTTTTCAAAGCATTCTGTTTTTTTATGGTGTTTATGTATCAAAGTTGCAACAAGATACAGTTTTTAAGGTGTTATGCAACTATCAAATTAAAAAAAAAATCTGTGGCCTAAATCTCTAGAATTCTCAACATTCAGAAAAAAGAAGAATTCAGACTTTAAAACAACCTAAGTTGCAAGAGGCAATTATTAAATATTAAGCAGAACTTAAGCATCAGGAGAAACAGAAAGAAAGAGAGGGAAAAGGAAAGGAAAGAAAGCAAATACCCTACTTTATCATTATGTTCTTCTCATAGGTAGAAGAACACCAGCCAAGCAATTTACCCCTTTATTGAGGAAATGTCTCAGACAAAATCCTGACTGCTTAATAGAGTTTTTTTCCTTGAATATATTAATGATGTGTATTTATTAATGATGTGTATTAGAGCTATGTGTTTCTAGAGATTAACTTGGAGCCTGCAAACCTTAATATTTCTGTGTTAAGCTGTATTTTTGCAACAATGAGAATTATGAAAAGATGCCAATTATATGATTAATCTGCACTTGGATTCTGTAAAATGAATTAACATTTATTTTCTTATTCAGTAGTTAATGGATCTCAGATCCAAAAAAAATCTTTAGGAAATGAGCACTGTATAATTAGTTTCATCACTTTTTACCATAGGTACAGAAACTCTTCAAACTGTAGTAACTTAACTATATATTAATGTAAGAAATAAAAACAAACATTAGGCTGTTCTGGGCAAATTTACTGTTATGTCTTTGTTAACTATTTAACATGTTTTTTTTAGCCTTTTAAAATATAGACTCCTAGTACAAAACAGTATCATCTTATCTAAGAAAAATTCAAAGAAAATCCACAGTTTTAAAATGCACATGGAAACTAGCACAGAACTTGAGAAATACTAGACACTCACTCATCAAACAGCTGCTGAATAAATAAGTTATAGAAATCCACTACATTTCTTCACCAAAATATTAATACTCTATTAATAAACTTTTGAAATGTATTTCTTTTCTAAAGTCTTTTTGTTCTTCACAATAACAAAACCAAAGAAAATGTGGCTACTTACTCCCTAAATTAACATTTTATTGACTTGGCCAACCAATGAAACCGTGTTGATTAGAAGTAGGCATCAACCAACAAACAGTACTTACCTCTCTGAAAGGAAAATTGTCAGCAAGGCTTGTAAAGTTTTTCTCAGACACCCTGCTTTTAATTTTCATTATACAAATAAATAATTGAATACCTACATAATTACTCTACTTTTCTTCTGTTTCAGTTTGGAAATTTAGTAACACTTATCTTGGGGGTTGCCAGTCTGCTTTTAGAACCAGCTGATAAATCCAGCTTAGTGCAATGTTTACATAATGATGAATAATTAGAAAATGAAAACCAGAAACACCATACACTAGATGTAATATCATTCGCATTTTCACTTATGAATTGTGAAATATGTCAGCAAGATAATTAAAATACCAGTTGGTTCTTATTCCTCTTTTAACAAGACTTTCCACAGTAAAAATTATAAAATGAGCATATAGTTACCAAAACGTTAGAAATAAAAAAAAGTTCTTTAAGTATAAATTTAAGTAAATTTAAAAATACTTCTATAAATGTATTTTAAGTTTATTGAATAAATTGGTAAACAGCTGTGTCTATATTAAAACACAGATGAAAAAAATTGGAATCAATGCTCTTCACATGTTCCTTTGTAATAACTGCAGCCACTTTCCTTATATCCCATTCATTTAGTTAATGTCCTCATTTTTCAGCTTTGCTAAGTTTCAGTAATTCACATTAACAAATACTTATTGCAACTAGGATGTGGTAAGATAACAGTGCTGGCTGCTACAGCATTAAGGATAAACAAGGCAGATGTGTATCCTGTTCTAATGGAATTTACAGTTTGTTAGGAGAAGAAAGATACAATAAATATTTTCACAAAAGTTGTTGAATTCCTGCCTGAAAAAAGAGCCATAAATGAAGACCGTAGCATCCTATGAGATGCTGTTTACACACACTCCTCAGCACTGCTGAATCCCTAGGGTTTCTATATAGAGTAGGTAATTATCATGTTGCTCTTCTAAAATAAGTCTTAGTCCTTGAAGAAGGCCACTTTTTTTCCTAATAAATATTGTTCCCTAGCTTGTTTGAATCTGTGTTACTCAAGTAGTGAGAAACTGAGTTGTTTAGGAAATTTTATCATAGGACTCTGACTAAAAAATTTACTGTTGTAAAGTATGGTTTCGTTGCCTTAAAGATTTTCAACTTTATTTATTTTTTGTTTCCATCTGAGTACATATACACTCATCCAATGTGAAGGGCTAAACAGCAATCCTTATGAAATAAAAAGGTTTTGTAACTTAATGTTTTTATTTTGCTTCCCAAGACACCAACTGTGTCTCTCAGGTTGATACTATGATCCAACTTTAAAAGTGACTTTTAGTATGTGACTAGTTTTTATCAGCACTATGTGCATCTTTCCTTTTCCTATACAATAGTAAGTGCATTTCAGAATGTAATTTAGCTATCATAAATTAATTATTATTAAACCATAAGTAATCACCAAATCTTACGTATTGAATTAAGAACAGGCTAGGCGCGGTGGCTCACGCCTGTAATCCCAGCACTTTGGGAGGCCGAGGAGGGCGGATCAGAAGGTCAGGAGATAGAGACTATCCGGAGCAACATGGTGAAACCCCGTCTCTACTAAAAATACAAAAAATTAACCGGGCACAATGGCGGGCGCCTGTAGTCCTAGCTACTCGAGAGGCTGAGGCAGGAGAATGGCGTGAACCTGCGAGGCGGAGCTTGAGGTGAGTCGAGATAGCACCGCTGCACTCCAGCCTGGGTGACAGAACGAGACTCCATCTCAAAAATAAAAATAAAAAAATAAATAAAAAAAAAAAACATCCACTGAGCAGTTTTGTATTAGGGATCTAGATTTTATTATTTTGAATGTAATCAACAGTGGTAATAATTATCCTGGGAAGAATTCCCTATAATGTTGGAATTTTCCTGGGTAGTGAGAGCTTTTACATATAAATGCCTCCTAGAACCATCACACTGTCAGGACATAGCTTATTCCATTGGAAATATTAGACTGAGGAACCCCATCATAGTCCAGTTAAGTTCTGCCTTTGTCTGATTTGCTTCCATATTACCCTCTATATAATACTCCGTGGTCATTTATAGCTTTCTCAGCGCCCTATTTGCCCTGTCTTTATTCCTATATACACCACACATTTCATTATATATGTCGGATTTTCCAGCATTCCTTTTTTTGTTTTTGTATTGTGTTTTGTTTTGTTTTTACAGATGGGGTCTTGCTGTGTTGCCCAGGCTGGAGCACAGCGGCATGATCATATCTCACTGCAGCCACGACCTCCTGGGCTCAAGCAATCCTCTGGTCTCAGCCTCCTGACTAACTTGGACTACACATGTGCACCACCATGCTCGGCTAATTTGTTTTTATTTTCTATTTTTCGTAGAGACAGGGTCTCACTATGTTGCCAGGTCTTGAACTTCTGATCTCAAGTGATCCTCCTACCTTGGCCTCCCAAAGTGCTGGGGTTACAGGTGTGAGCCACCGTGCCCGGCCTCAGGATCCCTGTTTTTATTAGTTCTTCTCACTTACTGTATAACTGCCTTTGCCTTTTCTTTTTTTTTCCACATTCTTCCTATCTAATATATTCATTTTTGTATTTATTTTAAGTATATTGGGAGAAACATTTGTCTAGTTGTCTATTTTAGTTCTTCATATATTAAGGATTATCAACAATGATGGATTTTATGCCACAGGTATAAGAGGAAGCCCTTACCTGAGATCTTGGGATGGCTCTGCTCTGATGTGCGGCGTCTCCACAGAGTGCCCAAATACGGCTCCTTCAGTGCCTGGGGGTAGCATGAATATAGCAGTCAGTATAAGCAAGTCCACACAGTGGCTTTCATCTCTATGTTTATGCATCAAATATTCTTCCAAAACAGAGAAAACTTAAAACAGGTACATATGATGTATTAGTCCGTTTTCACACTGCTGATAAAGACATATCCGAGACTGAGAAGAAAAAGAGGTTTAATTGCACTTACAGTTCCACATGGCTGGGGAGCCCTCAGAATCATGGCGGGAGGCAACAGGCACTTCATACATCGCGGTGGCAAGAGAAAAATGAGGAAGACGCAAAAGCAGAAACCCCTGATAATACCATCAGATCTCGTGAGACTTATTCACGACCGTGAGAACATTATGGGGGAAACCACCTCCATGGTTCAAATTATCTCCCACCAGGTCCCTCCCACAACACGTGGGCATTATAGGAGTACAATTCTAGATGAGATTTGAGAGAGGACACAGAGCCAAACCGTATCACAGGATATGAATGAGAAGAATTGGAAGAATATCACCAGGCAGGGAAGAGTCAATCAAGGTAAATCTAAATGTCATTATATTAACCAATTTTAAAATTAAATTATTTATAAAAGTCAAAAGTCAGTGAGTATTCCCACTCTCTCTTTAAAGAACAAAAGCTCATCTCTGTCCCCTGCCTTATTTTCCAGTTAAGTGAAATTGAGGGAGGGCTAAGTCACAATACTCAATTCTGTGTTTCTATAAATAATAGCAGGTCATGAATGAAAATGTGGAGGTGAGTTCCAGTGTAGCCTATTATTGGTTTTTTAAAGACAAACCCTCATAGATGTTTAGCAGTTCTCACACATAGAGCTCCCACCTTTGATTACAGTAACCACGAAAAGCTAGAGAACATGTCATGTTACTTTGACCTCTCTGGAGTTAGGGCTTAATCTAAAATCATGAACTGCTTTAAATTCTGGTGTTATAGTTGGTTTCATATGGAATTGTAGCTTTCCGAAGAGGTCATATACTCTAACACTTTTCTCAGGAGGTTGAAGGATACTCTATCTCAACTTTCATTTACTGAATCCATTTTTTTCCAGATTCTCATAGCTTTTTCATAATTTAACTGAGCAAAATGGAAGGATACTTCAATTACCAAAATCAAGTGGGAAAAAAATGTTCCAAATAAGATGACATTGAGAAAATCTTTTCTGTAATTTTGCATAAATGTCTTTATCACCCTCAAAATAAACTTGATGATTTTGTTTTCTGGTCTAATCTTCTTCAAAGTTCTTGCTTTAAGAACCTCATACCTGTTCCATCAGTGGCTTCAACACTAGATAAACTATACAATGTAATTTAAAAATATGTATTTGAAGCATACAAAACAAATCTGTTTTTGTCTAATGAGAAAAATCATGTAAAATATATTAATTCAAGAGGCAATGATGAAATTGCCACTAGGAAATTAAAGCTAAAATTCCAATTCCTTAAAACTAAATTGCTATATATGGAAATGTATTAGAAGCATCAGATGACTCCTTTGCATAATATAGCAATACAGACCTTGATCATGAATAGAACAGGAAGAGATTTTTTTTTCAAAGACTATATGATTTCATCTATATTATGCTGCTGAGGGCAAACTTACTTACCAGGTTCTGCTGCAGTAAATCCCTAAGATTACAGATTTCTGTTTATAAGCTAAAAGCTATTGGCATTTGTTGAACTCTTAATGGGCTTAATAGTGTTCTCTCTTCTCTCTCTCTCTGTCGCTCCTGAGACTCTGTAGGACATATGGTCCTTGTTTTTAAAACTTTTTTTCATGAATTTTGAGAAATTATTTAAGCGGTTTATTCTTTTGATATTTTGGAAGATATTTATTTTATTTCTACTAGTGGAACATTCCTCAAGGTGGGTCTTTAAAAGTAAAACAGTAGTTTGAGGTAACACTAATTTTGTGATTATAGTGGGGATAGCATTTGAAAGAATATTACAAGATATACATTTGTATATCTCAAAGAGAGACTCTGGCATTTTGTAATAAGATATGCATCCCAGAAAAGATAGTGAAAATTAATTTTTAAACTTTGCACATGGATAACTATTTCATGATTATGAAAATTTCCCAGATAAGGTGACAGAAATATAATTAAACATCGGTAATATTTACTTTCAAATACATAATGGCATACTTACTAAGCACAAACTCTATCAGTGAAAATAAAAATAACAGAATGTCATCAAAGTTTAAATTTTCAGTGAGAATTAAAAACTGATAGAGGTCTCAATTCTGAGTGCCAATATAAAAATAATCATTTTTAAAGGATTCTTGAAGAAATAAATATGTAATCATACCACGTAAAGGGCGAAATTTTAAACTAAATAATACGAGTGATTAACAAAATGCAGGCCTCTAGAAAATGAGAAATTCACTCTCCCTGTTTTTGTCCTGAATGAGCCAAAGGTACAAAATTAATAAGCAACACAGATAATCTTAAAGGAAATCAGTAAGGGATGATAAAAGCCACCTGAACCAGGTATGAAGTCTAACAGCATAAAAAAATTAAAAATCAGAAAATGCACAGTGGCTCGTGCCTGGAATCCCAGCACTTTAGGAGGACGAAGCAGGCAGATCACTTGAGGGCAGGAGTTCCAGATCAGCCTGTCCAACAGGGCAAAAATCCTCTCCTCTCTACTAAAAATACAAAAATTAGCTGGGCATGGTGGTGCACAGTAGTCCCAGCTGCTTGGGAGGCTGAGGCAGGAGAATAGTTTGAACCTGGGAGGCAAAGGTTGCAGTGAGCTGAGATTGCACCACTGCATTCTAGCCTGGGCAACAAACGGAGACTATATTAAAAATAATAACAACAACAACAACAACAAACTTTAAAAAAAAACTGTCTCTCTCAAGAATTGAAAATTTTTACCATGTAGATTACTAGTAGGGTTGTGAGATTTAGCAATTAATAATATATGACACTGAGCTCATTTGAATTTCAGATAAACATCAAATCATTTTTTAGTATAAGTATAGGATATTTACAGGGGATATACTTATACTGAAAGCATATCTTGAGTAATCAAGTAAATTCAAAATTAGTAAGACATCATATACTTGATCTGGAAACCCTAACAATTTGTCAACATTTGTTTGGTACATAAGGACAGATCTGACTTACTTATGCTCACTTAGAGAAAAGACAGACTGTCATGAATTCTCATATCACAGGCTCTAGAAACCATAGAAACAAAAAAGAAGGATAGACATAAAAAGGACAAAAGGAACACAACAGAGACACATATTAATATGTATATGTAAACTTATTGAATAAATGTTTGTTTTTCATTGCTATTTTAAGGGGCTGTTCAAAAGGGTACAATGTTCAACACTGCTTGATTATAAAATCCTACAAAGGATGTTTCAGATAATTTAAACTCACTACAATGTTACAAGACATAGGGAAAACCTATACTGTTGGCTACTGCAATTGTCAGAATAAAACTAAGAAAATTCAGGGTCCAAAAGTAGTAGAAACCATTCATATGATAATTTCTGGCTTCTGCAGGAAAGAATAAGGATGGCATATTCTGCTTTGCCGGAAAGGAGAAAAGGCAGATATGGATTATGGTCCTACTTTGTATTTAAAGACCGTTTAAGACATAAGCTAGGATACTACCCTTTACAAATGCCTAACATAAAATGCCACACGCTCAAAAACAAATTATTAAAATTAAATGTAAGCACCTCTTCTGATGTGGCTATCTATATTCTAAATGCTATCTATACTATAAATGTTATATCCTACGCTACTCATTATTCACCGATTGACATCCATGTATTTTTTACAGAAGTCACTGGTCCCAGAAGAAGAGGTAGCACAAGAAAAGGAAACCCAAGAAGCACCAGAGAGAAAGCAAACAACCAAGAAAGGCAAGAACACCTCACATTGAGAAAAAGAAAGTCAGGCAGGAAATTATATTTTTAAGTTATTTGACCTGATATGTGCCAAATGAGAACTTTTGCTGGCCTTTATTTTTCCAATAAAATCAACTATGATCATGAATTTTTTGAGTTTTTTTTTTTGTGGGGGGGGGGTGCAAAGAAGGGAATGGATTTTATGTAGATATCAACATGATGTGAAAGAGCAACTACAAGAGGAATCCAGAGTCCATGGGGCAAAGGTTAACAGGACATAAACAGCTAGCCTCCCAGCCCTATGGCACTTGACAGGTATCTTAGCTTTTCAGGTCCAGGGATATTTTTCTAGATCTCAAGGAACAGAAGATTCCTATTTATTTATGATCTTCAAATTTGAATCTGTGTTAGTAAATATATTCAAACTTTTTGGAAGTCTTCCTACCTTACTTTCTTTTTCTTTATTTGCTTCTGTTTCCCCCAAATCTAAATTGGTACTAAAATCTAGATTAAGCTGGGAATAGACTTGTCTTATTCCCAGGTTTACTTATAATTTGTTTTTAAATCTTGGCCAAGTATTTAAAGCCCTTTGGTTTTTATTTGTAAAATTAAAAACCAGATCATGAATAACATGATCTCTAAGGTACTTGCAATTTCTAACAGAATTATACGATTATTTTTTCAAACACGTCAAAACTTGTATACTAATAACTCTTCTCATTCCTCCTTAAATACTAGTGGAAATGAGTTTGCAACTCCAGATCAACAGAAAATAAATTATTTTGGGGAAAGGATGGAGTAACAATACTGGAAAAAAATATTAATTGGCATTTATTGTATTCCATTAAAAAGGATTGCTTTGAATACTGAAAAATTTATTACCTCTCGAAAGAAGAAATGTCAACCTATTTCAACATATACTACATCTCCTATTTGTGTTATTTTAATAATCTAAGTGGTGTTTTTGCCTCCACTTACCACCACAAAATACAACCTATACATTGCTGGAGTGATTTTATCAAAACCATTGATATCTCACCTGTGCAAAAAGCTATAATTATTTTCCTGGACACTGCTTTTGCCCAGCATTCAATACTCCTGTAATCTGAGCCCATTTGTGTGTTCAAACATCTTTTCTTCCACTTACGTATAAAATATCTTTACTAATTTTCCCACCTCTTAAGGCATATGCAGATTTCTTCATTCTCTGAACATATTTAGGGTTTACTGCCTGTAGTACTTGTCTTTAAACTACCATATCTATTCTTACATTTTATATTTTTAATTATAACAGTTGCTTACGTTTCAGGCCAAAAAAATTGAAGATACATTCCTTATATGCCATTGTATTCTTGCGCACCACATGATGGATGGGAGGTAATTAATAAATATTGATAAGGATCCAGATTTCCAGCCTTTTTTGAGTTTTCTCCTTTTGTTTTTTAATTCTAGTTTGATTAATGGTAAAACCATATTCCACACAACCAGGTGAACCCGGGAAGTATACTGAGATGTCCTTTCTTGTTCAACATCCTTATTAGCGTACTTGTTTCCACAGCTTCAATATCACATACATTTTCTGCTCATGATTCCTCCATACTGGTGCCAAATGATGTTCTAAAACACAAAATTGACTTTGTAACTCTCACTTAAAATATTTTAAGAACCCAGTGTCTGTAGAAGTCAAGCCCAGATTTCTTAGGATTTACTGCTTAGCAGTTGTGTGGATTTTACATTTCAGTGACAAGACAACTCATGAGAACCCCTTCTTGTTCTCAGCATATGCAACCTCTTTCTCCTCATTTGATGGTAATCTCTTCTCATTTTTCAAGATCTGAATCTAAATTATAGTATCTGTGAAACATTTTCTTGGTTCTTGCCGCTTGCTTCTCCTTCTGCCCAGTTGCCGCAGGTCCTTGTAAAAATTACTGGTATATATTTCTAACATTGCATTGCAATTTGCTTTAAGCTCTTATCCAGTAACTTACGACTTTCTTGAAGTCAAAGCCTGTCTCGATAACAGTTGTATACTTAGTACTGATCATGGATTCTGCTACATAGTTAAGGATCAGTAAATTAAAGAACATGAATAAAATAATTAACAAAAGCATGCATAAAATGCTTTCTATTTTATAATTGATAGGTAAAACATGCTAAGTTTCTGTTTCCTAGTGTATCTCCTTGTTTAACACTTTAACACAAATCAACATCCTGCGATGATTATCTGAATGTATTGAAACTGTTATTATGAGCATAGCCAAAGTGATTTTTTTCTAGTGAAACAGGGAAATAACATTATTAATTGTCTTGGGAGGAAAGCAAAAAAGAACACCATATTGTTCATTTAGGACTGAAAAATAAGCTGCCAGGATTTCTAAAAAGAAATTGTTTCAAAATCTGTTTGGACTTTTCATTTGGCATTTTTTTCATCATTTAAAAAAATATTTGAAAGCCTTTACTCTTGGATGCCAAATAATATCCTCTCATCCACTTAAACAGTGTCAGAAGACAAAAAGAGATAAGGAAAAAGACTGCTGGTGATCAAAAGGAAAATGCATTAAAATAAAGCTATTTTCTTCAAAATTAAGTACATTTCAGAAATAAGTTGTTTGTTACTAATGAAATTAGACTAAAATATATCAGCACTGGAAACGATCCAGACTTCCATATGGCTCTCATTTTGTAACCTTCAAGAAGTTATGTTTTACTAGCAGTTGTTTCTCTGAGTTTTAGGAGGAAAAGCTCTTCATTTATTATTTCTATTCCTTTTAGTCAACAATAAGAGTAATACTTGAAATTTAAAATCACATGTAAAGAAAACAGAATTAAAAAGAAAATAAATTATTTCCAAATTGAATGAATATGTGGTTTGATGGAAACGACATTTTTAAAAATTGTACATAAATAATCCATTTTCTAATTCCTACCTCCAAAAAAAATGAAAAAATTACAGTGGACGAGCAGAGCTTTCTTCGTTACTCTTACATCCAATAACTCTTGAGATATATATTCTCAGGAAATAGTTAATTCCAAAGTATGTGATTACTGAGGTTGTTGTTTTGCCCTTTACTTAAATAAAACCAGTAAGCAAATGAGAAGTAACATACACACCTGAGGCTTCTAGAGAATCCTGAGTGAGAAAGCATAATCAAGAATGCCCCTTTAGCAAACATAATCTCTATGGGTATGCACTTTTTAAAAGGCAGCAATATTTGATTCAATTTACAGCTTCATTATAAACATTATAATTTTAACGAGTTGAAATGCAAAAATATGCATTAACCTATTTGATAGCACATGAGCTACCCATACTGTCATTTATTACATTTTTAAAAATTTTATTAATGATTAATGATGAAACTGAGAAGATTAAGATTCCTAGGTAAATTATCTTTTTACCACCTTTACATAAAGTCTAGATAAGCTTTCAACGTACTTAATCCAGCAGTATATTTTGTCTTAAGATTTGGACATTTTACCTAAAATACAGATATGATAGCTGATACTAGTCTTGGCTCTTTGAACTCACACTTATTCTTATGAACGTAAATCTTTTTTAATTTTTTTTTGTATAACCCTTTCCTTGATAACCTCTATCATTAATCCAGTGAAATTCAAGCTTTGTGGAAATTCATTTATTTAGAAATCTCCCATCAGTTACACCATAAACTGAGGTTTCTTTGGGGGGTGGGGGTGGAAATTAGTAAATTCCTTAATCCTATCTTTTTTCCTTATTTTATTCTTCAAGCTCTTCACCACTATTTAGATTACTTTCTGAAGAGAAACAAAATGACTTCCTACTGCTAGTACTCATAAAGGGAGAAACTGTGTTTTCCACTGGCAGGTCATACCGACCATTACCAAATGGAATGCACAGCGCTAGAGATTCATCTCAGCAGCACTTTCATTGCTTAATTCTTTATTCCTTAGGACTTCTGGTACATTGATATCAAAGTGCTTTCTATGGAAAATAAAAATCAGTAAAGAAATTGTCTAAAACAGATGGTACATAATTGTCTTTGGGGGCTTCAAATATTGCATTGGTTTATAGATTTATCTGAAACTTCTACAAATATTTTTTACTCTGAAAAACAAAATATTGTATGTTCAAAAGATGCTAATTGTATCAATAGCTTTATGAGCCTGAGCTGCATAGTTAATCTACATAAACTGACATATGAAATTATTTTTTAACATAGTGTCTCATGAACCACAATTTATTTAGAATTTCCTTCTTACCTCAAGATATCTAAGAGACTTTAAAACATCAAAGTTTTACCTACAATTTTTTTGGGTCTCTCTGCCGATGAGAAAAGATTCAGAATCTTCGTACACACAGCTTGCCTTAATATGTAATTGTCATTCATTTACTAATAACCAGGTTTTACAAAAATTCACGTAAAAACTGAAAGCCTCATAAGCCTATCATCCAATAACAAGATAGTACGACATGCATAGAGTCCAAATGAGAATCAGAACATGTGTGTTAATGCCCAGATAAATTCTCTTCATCTTTTTTGTTTCTGTGAGATTATTTACCTTTTGTTGCTCAAGGTTGCTCCTTTGATTTTTATTTTATCACTTGCCATGTAATTCATGTATACCGATAGGTAAATTTTAGAAAGCTCCATTTACTTTCATTTGTTTTTTAACCATAAGAGGACTGGTAGCATTCTTTTTACTTTTAACTAAAGAAATGGCACGTTTCTCCAGAACCAATGTCTGGTTTCCTTAATAATGAAGTTTCTACAGCAAGAACACTCATCACATGCTCAGCGTTGATTACTGTGAACACTGTATATTTTTCTTAGAGGAATTTCAAGCAGAGTAAGCCATTACTGCTTTTTGCAATTTATAACGATTAAAATTATCCATAGTTTACAGGGAAGTCCAAGCATCTTCAAAATTATTGGGCTATTATGGTAACCTGTGTTTTAAAGGTTGCCATAATATCTTTAAAGATGGCATGTATCTTTAAAGATGGTCGTCCTATGACCTACAAAATGTATCTTTAAAGATGTATCTTTAAAGGTGTTTGTCCTCTGACCTACAAAAATAATGCATTAGAGATGAGCATTAGACCTGCTGATATAAATGGGCCTCTTCTGATAAGTCAGAGGTAAAATACACAACTTTTATAATCCAGATATGTGCTTTTACATTTTGGGAATCCCTTGATCCACTTAGCAAATATCTCACCATGAACAGGGTAAACAGATATTCAATATTTTCAATAGGTAGTGTTTTTTTTTTTTTTTGAGAAAGCTTAAATTGTGACACTGAGATGCACACATCTGTGTGTGTGTGTGTGTGTGTGTGTGTGTGTGTGAATGCAGAGTATAGCATCTCACTGGGGAGTACTTGACCCGTGTGTGTGTGTGTGTATGTGTACTGACACATTTACAAAATAAAATTCCAATCTTGTAAATACCTTTCCAGAGAATTGAAAAAAAAGCTGATGCCCTAATATATGAAGTTTTTATTATCATACTTTAAGTTCTGGAGTACCTGTGCAGAATGTGCAGGTTTGTTACATAGGTATACGTGTGCCATAGTGGTTTGCTGCACCCATCAACCCATCATCTACATTAGGTATTTCTCCTAATGTTATCCCTCCCTTAGTCCCACATCCCCTAATAGGCCCCAGTGTGTGATGTTCCTCTCCCTGTGTCCATGTGTTCTCATTGTTCAATTCCCACTTATGAGTGAGAACATGCAGTTTTTGATTTTCTCTTCTTGTGTTCGTTTGCTGAGAATGATGTTATCTAGCTTCATCCATGTCCCTGCAAAGGACATGAACTCATCCTTTTTATGGTTGCTTAGTATTCCATGGTTTATATGTGCCACATTTTCTTTATGCAGTCTATCATTGATTGACATTTGGGTTGGTTCCAAGTCTTTGCTATTGTGAACAATGCTGCAATAAACATAGCTGTGCATGTGTCTTTATAGTAGAATGATTTATAATCCTCTAGGTATATAACCAGTAATGGGATTTCTAGGTCAAATGGTATTTCTAGTTCTAGATCCTTGAGGAATCGCCACATTGTCTTCCACAATGGTTGAACTAATTTGCACTCCTACCAACAGTGTAAAAGTGTTCCTATTTCTCCACATTCTCTCCAGCATCTGTTGTTTCCTGACTTTTTAATGATCGCCATTCTAACTGGATTGAGGTGGTTTTGATTTGCATTTCTCTAATGACCAGTGATGGTGAGGTGTTTTTCATAATTGTTGGCCACATAAATGTCTTCTTTTGAGAAGTGTCTGTTCATATCCTTCACCCACTTTTTGATGGGGTTGTTTTTTTCTTGTAAATTTAAGTTCTTTGTAGATTCTGGATATTAGCCCTTTGTCAGATAAAGAGATTGCAAAAACTTTCTCCCATTCTGTAGGTTGCCTGTTCACTCTGATGATAGTTTCTTTTGCTATGCAGAAGCTCTTTAGTTTAATTAGATCCCATTTGTCTATTTTGGCTTTTGTTGCCATTGCTTTTGGTGTTTTAGTCATGAGGTCTTTGCCCACACCTATGTCCTGAGTGGTATTGCCTAGGTTTTCTTCCAGGGTTTTTATGGTTTTAGGTGTTACATTTAGGTCTGTAATCCATCTTGAGTTAATTTTTGTATAAGGTGCTAGGAAAGGGTCCAGTGTCAGTTTTCTGCATATGGCTAGCCAGTTTTCCCAACAGCATTTATTAAATAGGGAATCCTTTTCCAATTGCTTGTTTTTGTCAGATTTGTCAAAGATCAGATGGTTGTGGATGTGTGGTGTTATTTCCGAAGTTTCTGTTCCGTTGCATTGGTCTACATATCTGTTTTGGCACCAGTACCATGCTGTTTTGATTACTGTAGCCTTGTATTATAGTTTGAAGTCTGGTAGCATGATCCCTCCAGCTTTGTTCTTTTTACTTAGGATTGTCTTGGCTACGTGGGCTCTTTTTTGGTTCCATATGAAATTTACAGTTGTTTTTTCTAATTCTGTGAAGAAAGTCATTGGTACCTTGATGGGGATAGCATTGAATCTATAAATTACTTTGGGCACTATGGACATTTTTATGATACTGATTCTTCTTATCCATGAGCATGGTATGTTTTTCCATTTGTTTGTGGCCCCTCTTATTTCCTTGAGCAGTGGTGTGTAATTCTCCTCGAAGAAGTCCTTCACATCCCCTGTAAGTTGTATTCCTAGGTATTTTATTATCTTTATAGCAATTGTGAATGGGAGTTGACTCATGATTTGGCTCTCTGTTTGTCTATTATTGGTGTTAGGAATGCTTGTGATTTTTGCACATAGATTTTGTATCCTGAGAGTTTCCTGATTTTGCTTATGAGCTTAAGGAGATTTTGGGCTCAGACAGTGGGGTTTTCTAAATATACAATCATGACATCTGCAAACAGAGACAATTTCACTTTCTTTCTATTTAAATACACATTCTTTCTTTCTTGTGTTCTGATTATCCAGGCCAGAACTTCCAATACTATGTTGAATAGGAGTGGTGAGAGAGGTTAACTTTGTCTTATGCCAGTTTTTGAAGGGAATGCTGCTTTCAGCTTTTGGCCATTCAGTATGATATTAGCTGTGGGTTTGTCATAAATAGCTCTTATTATTTTGAGATACATTCCATCAATATCTAGTTTGTTGAGAGTTTTTAGCATGAAGTGGTGTTGAATTTTATCAAAGGCCTTTTCTGAATCTATTTAGATAATCGTGTGGTTTTTGTGATTGGTTCTGTTTATATGATGGATTACATTTATTGATTTCCGTATGTTGAACCAGCCTTGCATCCCAGGGATGAAGCCCACTTGATTGTGGTGGATAAACTTTTTGATGTGCTGCTAGATTCAGTTTGGTAGTATTTTTTTGAGGATTTTTGCATCGATGCTCATCAGGGATACTGGCCTGAAATTTTCTTTTTCTGTGTGTGTCTCTGCCAGGTTTGGTATCAGAATTACACAAGAAAGAAAATTTAAAGGCTCACATTTATTCCTAGGGATAGATACCAAATTTCTAAAAAAGGTATTATCATATGGAAACCAGCAATAAAGAATTATCAGGACCATTCCTTTAACATCTATCACTGGAATATAAGTTTGGTTTAATGGCAGACAATTAATAAAATTCACCATAGTAATTGACTGATGGAGAACAATATAGAAAGATATTAGAAGATAGAGAAAATTCATTCAAAAAGTTCATCATGATTAACCACAATAATTGTCACTGTTTAGGAAATGAGAACAGAAGTAAATTTCTCCACCTGAAGTTGTCAGGTACAACATAACCTCTATCAACATCAAACTTATTGGTGACATGCTGAAACATTTCATTTAGGAACAGGGATATTTCACTTAAGAACATTACACAAAAGTACAATGTGGTTTTATATTTGGCTAGAATCACCACTTTAATTCAACTCTATACTATATATAGTTCTTGTCTTACTAAGGAAAAATATAGATCTATAATATGTATATTGTTTTGAGGAAAAAATAAAACTAACATGGTTCACATAAAATATGGTTTTCTATAGAAAAAAAATCCAAAAGAATCTACAGAAAATTAAATACAATTAGAAAACAAATTTGACTTGAGAAAAATGTAATGCATGTTCTGTGAGACTGCTACTGCTATGGAATGAATTATTAAATTTAATCAAAAGGCATTAAAGAGATGTTAATTATAATGAGAAGTATAACATAACCATATGTAAGATTATCCTATCCTAAAGTTAATAATTTTACCAAAAACTTTGAATAAATTTAATGCAATCTTAATCAGATCATCAATGATAGTTTCATGGAACTGGACAAGCTGATTCTAAATCTCTATAGAAGAATATCAGGAATAATAAGGCAATCTGAACCTCCTCCACAAAAAATTTAAGTAGGCAGATTTTCCTGTCCAGATAACAAGTATTATTATAAAATTCTAATTTTACTAAGTCAATGTGACTGTGAAATAGAGAAATAGCCTAACGGCTAAGAGAGTCCCCAGAAACAGAGCAATAGATATCCTTCTCACGGAAACTCAACTTAATGGCAAAGTCAATGTTGAATATTGAACATAAAATTTAGTATTAACATATATTCAACATTCAATTAAATTACATTAAATATATTCAACTATATTATATTCAGTATTGAATATATAATATTAAATATTAGAAAAATCAACATGTCACGCTGTCATAGCTGAGATAAAATGTTATTCACTACTATTCTCCACTTTAGGCTCATAGCAAATTGATGCCGTTATAAGGGTGTTTAAAAAGTGACTAATTTTGTGAAACTTATAAAAACAATATTTGCACTGAAATAGAAAATAATGCTCTTTTTTAAAGTACCCGTTTAATTAATTGTTTTTAAAAAATATGTGATATCTTACCACACTTCCATGCTTCTTTCAAATTATACAGGGTTTTTTTGGTATTGCCGTTATTATTGTTGTTAAACTGACTAAAATCATACATGAAATAATAGAAATCAGGCCTAACATCAGATAGACTTTTCCATTCAGTTAAGTTATTGTGTAGCAAAATTTATTTTGTCAGTTCACTACACAGTGTGACAGTATATAGTTTCTCTAATAGAGTAACATTAAAGAGGACATATAATATAACCAAAAATTTGAGTTCCAGATAAGTTTGGTGTCTCACTAGCAAGATGACGTTAAATAACTCATTTAATTTTTTTGAAATCTTAATTTTCTGTTCTGTAAAATAAAAAGCAATCTGTCTCTTGTCCAAAAGACTATGTAGGTTTTTTAAAAATTTTTTATTATGTCATATACATGTGCATACATTGATACATAAATAGCCCTACAATGTATACCTCACAGTTGCTTAGCATTATGATGTCTGAGGTCAGTTAGAAGACTTTAAGGAGGCCGGGTGCTGTAGCTCACGCCTGTAATCCCAGCACTTTGGGAGGCCGAGGCGGGCAGATCCCAAGGTCAGGAGATCGAGACCATCCTGCTAACATGGTGAAACCCGGTCTCTACTAAAAATACAAAAAAATAGCCGCGCATGGCGGCAGGCGCCTGTAGTCCCAGCTACTCGGGAGGCTGAGGCAGGAGAATGGCGTGAACCCGGGAGGTGGAGCTTGCAGTTAGCTGAGATTGCGCCACTGCACTCGGCAGCCTGGGAGACAGAGCAAGACTCAGTCTCCAAAAACAAAACAAAACAAAAGACTTTAAGGAGCTATGGTGATTCAGAGATAGGAACATTCTCATTCACTGCCCATGAGAGGGCAAAATAACAAAAACATTCTGGGGTCCTTTCCCTTTGAACAAATAATTCAATTTCAAGGAATTTATCCCAAAGAGTTCTTTATGTGCACAGAGATGTAGCTACAAGGATGTTAAGAACAGTCCATGTAGGTTCATTGTATTTAATCAAAATGTTCATCAATAGGGAATTATCTAATAAACTATTGTGATTCAACAAAATAGAATACTTTTAGCCATTTAAAACTATTAGAACACTAGTGAATTGAGTAACCTAAAAATGAATATTAAATATCCATAAGATATGCATAAATGTCTACATTTTTAAAGAGTCATAACATCTTCACTGGCTAATTCCAGTTAGCAGCCATATTTTCAAGTTGTGGTCAACTCATTTCTTCTCCCCTTGTTTTTAGGAATTCTTCTTTCTCCCTTATCCCCATTAGAAACTCAAATATACTGTTCAGTATGCAGAGAAATTTGGGAAACATTATCACATCTTAAAGGTTTCTATTTTAAGATATTTTCTTTAAAAAGTGAGCCAGCTACCTCAACAAAATGTTTATCATTCTTTTTAAAAGGTAGCAGTAACTCAACTGAATGTCATCTTAAATAGAAGTATGTTGTAATCCCTTTTAGAGATAAAGTGAATCTTTTTAGTCAATTTTGACTAAAGATAAATCAGACTGTCCTGAGAAGTCATGATAGTTCTGTCACCAAGTGTTGAAAAGAAGAACGACCAAATTACAAAGACGTAAGAGAGAAGATTCAAACTTTTTTGGAAGAATGCAATAAAACTTAACGTACATTTTAAGCCTGAGATTCCAAGATATTTATTTCATCTGCCAAACAATAAAGGGGTGATGAGTAAACAGACTGATTCTGAAAGTTTGTTTTGATTCACTTGTCTTAAAGACCGAAAATAACAAAGCAAACAATCAGTAATTGCCAATTAATTATTCATTTGGTTTTACAGTTGTAAACTTAAAAGAAGCCATGCAATGAAACATAAATTATTTGCCAATTTTGTTGAAATGTGGGAAATGAAGTGATGTTAAACAATTTGTGGGTAAATGGGAAAATGATCCTATAAATGATTACTATACTTAATATAGAGAGATTTGAAAATATTATATTGTGATTAAATCATTCTTAAATATCATCCATCCTACTTTTCAAGGCATGTCACATGAGATTAATAGTTCACATCCAGAGCCATGACCAAGACCTATATACTCCATCTTCTGAATGAGTTATTTCTCTGTAGCAATGCAAAAACAGACTAACATAGTAGGAAACTATTGCTTCTATCTTCTAGCAGTTTTCAATTTAATAGTAAAACTATTTTTAAATGAAACAGATCAATTATCAATCAATTAGAATGGTAGACATAATCGTGATCTCCCCTGCCCTCAATGGTCTCCATCCTAATCCCTGAAACCTGTGAATATGTCACAGTTAACAGGCAAAGGGTAATTCAGATGACAAATGATACTGATTGCTCATTGGATTATCTTAAAAACAGGATTATCCTGCATTATCTAGGAGGAGCCAAAATAATCACCAGGACTATTAAAAATGGAAGAGAGAGGCACAAGAATAGTCTGAGACAGACAGTTGGCTAATGTTGTTAACTTTGAAGATAGAGGAAGGGCCAAGAGCTAGAGTAATGATGAGGGTCTTTAGGAGCTGGAAAAGCAAAGGAAACAGATTGACTCAGAAGGGAGCTCAGACCAGGAATCACCTTGATATCATCTTAGTGAAAACAGGTTCAAACTTGTAACCTCTAGAACTGGAAATAATAAATTTGTGTTTTGTAAGCTGCTAAATTTTTAGTAATTATAACAGCAGCACCAAGAAATTAATACAACCATTTAATAATTTTAAAATGTAGGCAGTCCATTCGAGCTTGAAATATTTTTTCCTTTGTCCTTCACTCCCTCTTTCTCCTCTCTCTCTCTCCCTTTTTACCTTTACTGTGAAATGACAGATTGCCTTGGTTATTATTTACATGAACATGGCAATTTTATCCAACTTATGTGAAACACACCCACACAAGACCCCAAAGATGAAATTAGGAATAAAATTTATTTTTATATACTCCAGCAAGTTCCTTTTGAAGACAATGGTCAGCTTGATTAATTAATATACAGTTGACTTAAAACTAAAATAGTGCTTCTCAAATTGCAATAGACATTTAAAATTGCAGATGAAGATTATATTACTGTTTTACCAAATTGATTATAACATCAATCATTCATCTTAATCTCTTGCTCTGACATTGTTAGGCATATCTTAAGTTTCCAATTTACATAGCTACATCAAGATAAAGAGTTTCTCCAGGAGGAATTGTGATTTAGTTAAGAAAGTTACATATTTAATATTCAAATATGCTCATTCTTATTCACTTCTTTTTCCAGCACACTAAATAAATCTGCTTGAAATAACCTAGCTACAAAATAAATTGGATCCTAAAAGCCCATCTTCTTCTTATAGAAATTTCTATTAAGAACCTAAAGGTATTATATATACATTCATGTGATGACACAAATAAAGTAGAAATGAAGCTGACCAAAAGTTCCTTAAACTGATAAGCAACTTCAGCAATCTCAGGATACAAAATCTATGTGCAAAAATCACAAAAATTCCTATACACGAACAAAAGACAAGCAGAGAGCTAAATTATGAATGAACTCCCATTCACAACTGCTACAAAGAGAATAAAATACCAAGGAATACCACTAACAGGGGATGCGAAGGACTTCTTCAAGGAGAACTACAAACCACTGATAAATGAAATGAGAGGACACAAAGAAATGGGAAAACATTCCATCCTCATGCATAGTAAGAATCACTATTGTTGGCCAGGCGTGGTGGCTCACGCCTGCAATCCCAGCACTTTGGGAGGCCAAGGTGGGTGGTTCACAAGGTCGAGGTGGGTGGTTCACAAGGTCAGGAGATCAAGACCATCCTGGCTAACATGGTGAAACCCCGTCTTTACTAAAAATACAAAAAAATTAGCTGCGTATGGTGGCGGGCGCCTGTAGTCCCAGCTACTTGGGAGGCTGAGGCAGGAGAATGGCGTGAACCAGGGAGGCAGAGCTCGCAGTGAGCCGAGATCACGCCACTGCACTCCAGCCCAGGTGACAGAGAAAGATTCCGTCTCAAAAAAAAAAAAAAGAAGAAGAATCACTATTGTGAAAATGGCCACACTGCCCAAAGTAATTTACAGATTTAATGCTATTTCCATCAAACTACAATGGACATTCTTCATAGAATTAGAAAAAATACTTTAAAATTCATATGCAACCAGAAAAGAACCCTTATAGCCAAGACAATCCTAAGCAAAAAGGACAAAGCTGGAGGCATCACACTACCTGATTCCAAACTACCAGGCTACAGTAACCAAAATCACATGGTACTGGTACCATAACAGACATATAGACCAATGGAACACAATGGAGATACCAGAAGTAAGACCACACCTCTACATCCATCTGATCTTTGACAAACCTGACAAAAACAAGCAATGGGAAAAGGATTCCCTATTCAATAAATGGTTGGTGCTGGGAAAACTGGCGTGCCATATGCAGAAAACTGAAAACTGGATTTGTTCGTCACACATTACACAAAAATTAACTCAAGATAGATTAAAGACATAAATGTAAAACCCAAAACCATAAAAACCCTAGAAGAAAGGCTAGGCAATAACATTCAGGACATAGGCATGGGCAAAGATTTTATGGTGACATAGCCAAAAGCAATTAGAACAAAAGCTAAAATTGACAAATAGGATCTAATTAAACTAAAGAGCTTCTGCACAGCCAAAAGAAACCATCATCAGAGTGAACAGGCAACCTACAGAATGGGAGAAAATATTTGCAATCTACCCATTTGACAAATGTCTAACATCCCGAATTTACAAGGAACTTAAACAAATTTATAAGAGAAAACAACAATCCCATCAAAAAATGGGCAAAGGACATGAACAGACACTTCTCAAAAGAAGACATTTATTCAGCCAACAAACATATAACGAAAAAACTCAACATCACTGATTAGAGAAATGCAAATCAAAACCACAGTGAGATACCATATTATGCCAGTCAGAATGGCTATTATTAAAAAGTAAAAACAAAACAAAACAAAACAAGATGCTAGAGCAGCTGTGGAGAAATAGGAATACTTTTCCACTGTTGGGAATGAAAATTAGTGTAACAATTGTGGCAGACAGTGTAGCATTTCCTCAAGAATCTAGAAACAGAAATACCATTTGACCCAGCAATCCCATTACTGGGTATATATCCAAAGGAATACAAATCCATTCTGTTATAAAGATACACACACGTATGTTTACTGCAACACTATTGACAGTAGCAAAGACATGGAACCAACCCAAATGCCCATCAGTCATCAACTGGGTAAAGAAAATGTGGTGCATATACACCACGGAATACTATGCAGCCATAAAAGGGAATGAGATCATGTCGTTTGCAGGGACATGGATGAAGCTGTAAGCCATCATCCTCAGCAAACTAACACAGAAAATCAAACACCACATGTTCTCATTTATATATGGGAGCTGAACAATGAGAACACATGGACACAGGGAGGGGGACAACACACACTGGGGCCATCTGGGGGGTCAGGGGGAGGGAGAGCATCAGGACAAATACCTAATGCATGTGTGGCTTAATACCGAGGTGACAAGTTGATAGATGCAGCAAACCACCATGGCTTACCTATGTAAGGTAAGGTTTACATGGTTTACCTATGTAAGAAACCTGCACGTTCTGCACATGTATCCTGGGACTTAAAGTAAGATAAAATTAAAATAAATAAATAAATAAATGAGGCTGAATTATTATTGTCAGTGAGAAAGCATAGGTCTGGTTCCCGTTCTGCCACTGATAGCTGTGTGTATTTTCTATAAATCATTTAACCTGAGACCAGAGGTTACAGAGTAACAATAATAATACACATCCCCTAAATACTGAGGAGCAAATGAATTACTATAAATGACTGTGTTTTGTCAGTGGCAAAGCATATGCCAATATGTTACCAATCTCATCACTTTGATTAATTTTAATATTGTGATTTATTTATTCATTTTTATTTCTATTTATTTATTTTTTTGATACTGAGTCTCACTGTGTCACCCAGGCTGGAATGCAGTGGCACAATCTCGGCTCACTGCATCCTCCGCCTCCCGGGTTCATGCCATTAGCCTGCCTCAGCCTCCCGAGTAGCTGGGACTACAGGCACCCACTACCACACCAGGCTAATTTTTTGTATTTTTTAGTAGAGACATGGTTTCACCGTGTTAGCCAGGATGGACTTGATCTCCTGATCTTGTGCTCCACACGCCTCAGCCTCCCAAAGTGCTGGGATTACATGCATGAGCCACCGCGCCTGGCCTGTTTTAGAATTTTTTAACTTTTATTTTATAATTGGAGATACATGTGAAGGGTTATTACATAGGTAAACTCATGTCACAGGGGATTTTTGTACAAATTCTTTCATCACCCAGGTATTAAGCCCAGTACCCGATAATTATCTTTTCTGCTCTGCTCCCTCCTCCCAACCTCCCCCCGCATCAAGTAGACCAAAGTGTCTGTTGTTTCCTTCTTTGTATACATAAGTTCTTATCATTTAGCTCCCACTTATAAGTGAGAATATACGGTATTTGGTTTTCTGTTCCTGTGTTAGTTTGCTAAGGATAATAGCTATCATTAAACAGTCAAAAATAACAGATTCTGGCGAGGTTGTGGAGAAAAAAATGCTTATACACTGCTGGTGGGAGTGTAAACTATTTCAACCATTGTGGAAGACAGTGCTTCGATTCTACCACCATTAAAAAATGGGCAAATGACATAAACAGGCATTTTTCAAAGGCAGAGACATAAATGGCCAACAAGCCATTTGAAAACCATTTTTCAGCAAACCAACAAACCATGTTGAAAAAATGCTAAATGTCACTGATTATCAGAGAAATGCAAATTAAAATCACAATGAGATATCATTTTACACCGTTCGGAACAGCTACTATTAAAACTTGAAAATAACACATTGGTGAGGATGCAGATAAAAGGGAACGCTTATACACTGTTGGTGGAAGTGTAAATTACTACAACCTCTATGGAAAACAGTATGCAGATTTCTCAAAGAACTAAAAATAGAATTATTCTTCAGTCCAGCAATTCCAGTATTTGGTATCTACCTAAGGGAAAGTAAATCATTTTATCAAAAATACTTGTAACTACATGTTTACTGCAGCACTATTCACAATATCAAAATCATGGAATCAACCTAAGTGTCCATCAGTGAATGTCTGAATTTAAAAATGTGATAAAAATGTGATGTGTGTGTATATATACATATACACACACACACACACACCATTGACTACTACTACTCAGCCATAAAAAAAGAATAAAATCATGTATTTTGCAGTAACATGGATGGAACTGAAGGTGATCATCATAAATGTAATGATTCAGAAACAAAGTCAAAAACGACATATTCTCACTTCTAAGTGGGAGTTAAATAACAGCCATACAGAGTGGAATAATTGACAATAGAGACTCCAAAAGTGGACGGTGGAGAGGAGGATGAGGGATGAAATCCTACCTATTTGGTACAGTGTACACTTTTTAGGTTATATGAGTACGCTAAAAGCCCAGACTTCACCAATATGCAACACAGTCATGTAAAAAACCTTCTCTTGGGTCGGGCATGGTGGCTCATGCCTGTAATCCCAGCCCTTTGGAAGGCCGAGGTGGGTGGATCACCTGAGGTCAGGAGTTCAAGACCACCCTGGCCAACATGGTGAAACCCCTCTCTACTAAAAATACAAAAAAAAGCTGGGTGTGGTGGCAGGTGCCTGTACTCCCAGCTACTCAGGAGGCAGAGAGAAGAGAATTGCTTGAACCCAGGAGGCAGAGGTTACAATTAGCCAAGATCGTGCCATTGCACTCCAGCCTGGGTGACAGAGCGAGACTCCGTCTCAAAAAAAAAAAAAAAAAAAAAAAAAAAATCTGCTCTTGTACTCATAAATTTATAGAAATAAAAATTTGAAAAATAAGGAAGACTGAAAAATCCATAAACATGTAGAAATTAAACAATAGCCTCTTAACCAATGGGTAATGAAAGAAACCATAACACATTTAAAAAGAGACAAATGAAAACAAAAACACAACCTACCCAAAATTTTGCAACAAAGGCAGGGCTCAGAAGGAAATTTAAAAAGATAAGAACATCCATTATAAAAGAAGAAAGACTTCAACAATCTAACTTTATACCTTGAAGAAGAGAAGAGAAAACTAAACACAAATCAGTGTTTCTATACGTCATTAAAAAAAATCAAAAAAGACATTAAGAAAGTAATTCCATTGACAATAACATATAAAATAATATAATAATAGTTAGGAATAAATTTGACAAAAAAGGTTAACAGCCAAACCACTGAAAATGACAAAACATTGCCCAGAGAAATGAATAAAGACAGAAGTAACTGGAAACACATAACATGTCCATAGGTAAGAAGATTTAATATGGTTAAGCTGTCAGTGTTATCGCAAGTATTCTTCAGATTCAATGCAATCCTTATCAAAATCACAACAGCCATTTTGTGCAGATATGGAAAACGTGATCCCAAGTTCATATGAAATGATTATCAGTCAAAATAATCTTGAAAAAGGAAAACGAAGTCAAATAACTCACAGTTTCTGATTATAAAACTTAACACAAAACTACAGCAATCAAATCAGTGTGGAACTAGTATAAGGACAGACATGTAGGCCAATAGAATAAAATTGAAATTAAAAAGAAACTCACAAATATATGGCCAACTGATTTTTAAGAGTGCTAAGTCTATTCATGTATATAAACACACACACGCAATTTAATTACGGTGCAAAATAAGAATCTTGGTAGAAGCTAAACCTCTAAAATGAAAAAAAAAACAAATGATTCAAAATGTCAGAACTTTTCTCTTTTATCACTATATAATCAAAATATATTATTGTCAAAAATATGGAGATAAGAAAAAGAATCATAGCTGTTAAGAAAATATAGATAACAGTCCTTCCTTCCACGATGTGAGCAAGATAGCTGACTAGGGGTTCCTGCCATGTTTATTCCCACACACAAAAAAATGAATAAAACAACAAATAAATAAGCAGTTTTTGACTAGACTGCCTGAAGAAGAAGGCTAAAGTACAGCAAGTGAGTGGAGGTAACACAGGGGCTAAAAAGAAATTATTTAGGCAGATAGTGAGGGTAAGAGAGTCCTTGGTGGGATTTCCTTTTAATAAAAAGCAGCCACTAAATCATTTATTTTCTAACGAAAAACAGCTTGAAAAATCAAGCTGCAGACATAGGTATGCAAGCTGGATGCTTGCATAGGTAAATGCCAGCAGCTGTGCCAATAGAAAAAGGGACCGTACCTGGAAGGCAGGTATGTTTTTTCATAGAGGCTCTAGCTTCCCTTTTCTTTGTTGCCGTGTGTGCAGTAAGCAAGCAAGCAACATGGTGCCAGCCAGGTAGAGAATCCAGTTGCATAAAAAATATTAGGGTGGAGTAGCCAACTTCTTCAAATGCTATGTAAATGGCACAGCTAGTCCAGCCAATCCTTTGTGCCCTGTGTAAATCAGATACCACCTCCTCAAACTCATCTATAAAACCAGCTGCACCTAACCACGAATAGGGAGATCTGTTTGGAACGCTGTCCCTCTGCAGGAGGGATCTTTGATCTTTTGCCTATCAAACTTCTGCTCTTAAACTCACTCCTTGTGTGTCCACATCCTTGATTTCCTTGGAATGAAGCAACGAATCTCTAGTATTAACCCAGACAAAAGATGCCGCTTCAGAGGTATCTTGATGGAGTACAGAAATCCAGGGTGGCACCTTAAAGGGAGGAGCAAAGAACGCAGCCTTTGCCACATCATTTCCCTGTCAGGATCAGCTTGGAACCAAAAGGGACTTCTTGTAGACAGGTAAGCAGTAGGCCCCCAGAAATGCAGTTTGTTATTACCACTGCAAACACCTACAGTTCTTGGTTGACAAGTTGTTGTTGTTTTTGTTCTCCATAGAACTTTTAGCAATTTCTGTATGTTATTCCAATTGTATTCTGGCCTCTATGGTTCCTGATGACAAATTATTGATCTTATTGAGAATCTTTTATCTATGACAAGTTCCTTCTCTCTTGCTGCTTTATACATTCCCTTTTTGTCTTTGTTTTTGCCAGCTTGATTAAAAAGTGTCTTGTCTGACTATCTTTCAGTTTATCCTACATCATGTTTGTTAAGCTTCTTGGACAGGCATATGCACGTGTTTCATCAAATTTGTAATGTTTTAGGCCATTATTTCTTCAAATAAGCCATGAAACAGATAACATTTTAGTCAGCAACAGATAACATATATGACAGCGATCCCTTAATATTGTATTTTTATAGTACATTTTCTATGTTTACATACACAAATATTTACTACTGTGTGCAACTGCCTACAGTATTCAATACAGTGACATGCTGTACAGCTTTGTAACCTAGGAGCAGTAGGTTATTTTATATAGTCTAGGTGGATAGTAGGCTGTCCCATCTAGGGCTGTGTAAATACACTCTATGATGTTCACATAATGATGAAAACACTTGAGATGCATTTCTCAGGATGCATGCCTGTTGATAAGTAATGCATGATTGTATTTTGCCCCTTTCTTCTTATTTGACCTCCATGATACATATATTGGTCCATGTGATGGTGTCCCAGAGGTCCCTTAGCCTGTCTTCAACTTTCCTTATTCCTTTTTTTCATTTCTGCTCCTCAGACTCAGTAATTTTGCTTGGCCTGTCTTAAAGTTTGCTATTTTTTTCTTCTACCTGCTTAAATCTGCTACTGAGCTTGGCTAGTATATGTTCTATTTCAATTATTATAATGTTAAATACCAGCATTTCAGTTTTATTTTTGAATAAGTTTATTCCTCTTAAATAGGTAATATGTGTACACAACACATGATTGCAACAAAATACAAATTTCAAAGGCACAGAAGCATTTACAGTGACAACTACTTCTCTTTCCCATCCTTGTCTTCCAGCTATCCAAAGTCCTTTGTACCTAAGACAACCACCATTACTAATTTCTTGTATATCGTTACAGAAATCTTCTAAACAATACGTTCTGTTTGTTTTATACTTTCTATTTAACAATATTCTTATTTTGTTTATACATTATTTACTTCATGTTCCTTAGTTTTTGTCCATGTTTTTCTTTAGCTACTTGAACATATTTTAAATCGCTATTTTAAACTCTATTTATTAAATCCAGTGTCTGAATTTCTTCAGGGTTGGTTTCTGTCCATTTATCTTGTTCCTTTTAGTAGCCTTTTCATTTCTGTTTCTTTGTATGAATTGTGACTTTCTGTTGCAAACTGGGCATTTGAGTATTATAAAGTGGCAACTCTAAAATCAGATTCTGCCACCTTTTGCGAATTGTGCTGGTTTTTGTTGTTGTTGACACTTTTTTAAAATTGTAGGAATTTATTTGCTTAGTGACTTTTGTTAACTTTTTTCTAAAGACTGAAATTCGCTTTGTGTGCAGTCTCTGAACCTCTTTTCCTTGTGCTCAGCTAGTGTTTTGAGAAGATTTCCTTGAATGCTAGGAGCTGTAACAATAAAAAAAACAAGCACACAAACAAAACCAAAATGAATAAAAAAACCACGTTTCTCAGTTATTGCAGATTGGCTCTGTATTGGGGCACTCTTTCAACACTTAGCCAGGGGACTGAGCCTGGGGATCAGCCCAAGGTGAAAACTTAAAGTGACTTCAGTTCTTTTGTGAACATGTATCTTGCCCTAAGCATATGTGCAGCTTTCTCAATCGCCCACCCCGTACACATGTGATTCTGAACGTCCCAATTTCCCAGAGAAATTCTCCACAATGTTTGCTCCTGATCCATTAATGCATCTATTTTATATTTTCCATTTAATCTTTTAACCTAACATCTGTCTGTCATTAATTCAGCTTGCATTGTTTTTTGAGCAATTCCATTCCATTTTCCAGGAAGATTTTATGGCTAGAGTTCTGAGACAGATGAAACAGAGAAGAGCATCTTTTCTTTCACGTAGTCTCCAGACAGGTTACAAGAGACACATACAATAATTTGTGCATAAGGTCTTCTCTGCTTCCTCTGGAACCAGGGGCCAGGACTCTGTTCTAAGAACACTAATTGTTGGTGTCTGAAGACTGCCATAGAGCCAGGAACAGGATTGGGTAGGACAAGTAAAAAACTCCTCAAAGATTTTTACCATTTTGAAGTCACTTTTTTACTATTTTTTTTAATCAGTGTTTACTTGGTTGCTGTAAACCTTTGACTCTTTTTCTGAGTTTTGACAAAATTACTTTTGACAGTTTCTGCTTTTTTTTTAATGCTTCTTTAGGAGGATGAAAGCTTGGAGCTGCTGCTCCATCATTTCGCTCATATTAACCTCAACATGTATTTTAAAATTACCACTACATTATACTGCACTCCAGTTTTGTGTAACTTATTTCCCTTTTCCAACATTGACTACTTAATAAATATATTTAGGTACTATGCCACCAGAACATTTATTTCCTCAGGCTGTGTGTATTGCAATTTTACTTCCTATTTCAAATTGATCCACCAGAATTCAGTACATGAATATGCATCAGAATATGATAGAATCCAATACATTATGATGTATAAAAATGTTATTTCACATGTGTGAGGTACAGCTACAGGTTATGTTATACGAGCATAACAATTGACAAATATCTATTTTACATTTACATTTGTATACACTGCATTTTCAAACATATTCTTGACAGGAGAAAACTTCCATTTTCACTAGGCACAATTAGATATTAGATAATAGATATGTGAAATTTTACAAATTCAATAATTAGAATATTTTCCATAAACTAGTACCTCATCAAATAATTTTTGTCCTCCAGAACATACACACTTTCAGAGCCAGTACATGTATCATGATGCAGGGAAAGGCAGCCTAATGGCCTGTAGAAGTATTCAAGCAAGTAATTCTATACTATGAAGGCTAAAGATGACAGGTATGAATGAAAGTGAACATATGAATATATTTGACTATATCTCAATATATGTGTCATTCAAATTAACTGTGCCTGTAATTTCCTGTGTCTGAGGAAATTGGCATAGAAAGTAATAGAATTCTTAAATATTTGAGTTACTGTATGTTATTTTGCACCACTTAAAAAATATATCAGAGCCACAACAAATTGTCAGGGCTCTCAAATTTAAGCACTGTTCGCTTCTTGGTAAATCCTCTTTACCTATGTGGGAAAAAATACCATGAGCAGGTGTTAGCTCTCAGCCTATCTGTATAGGCTGCCGCAAAGACTTCGTTTTCTCTGTGTCCTGATTTCACATTTCTGTTTTTTTAAATCAGGGTTTGGCAAATTGGCCCATGATCCATACCAAGTTCTCCACCTGTTGTTGCCTGGCTTGTGAGCTCAGAATGGTTTTTACTGTTTGATATGTTTTTTAAAAACATGACAGATATAATAGTTCATGATGAGAATGTTAAATTAAAACTTTAACATAAATTATTATGTTATTATTGAAACACACAGTAGCGTATCCACTTACATACTGTCTATAGATACCTTCACACTATCACGGCAGAATGGAGTAGTTAAAACAGAGTGTATGGTCAAAATTGCTTAAAATATTTATTGTCTAACCTTTTAAAGAAAAAGCAACCACCACCCAGATCATAAATTCTACATTAACAGGATAAATTCCATTACGCTTTCTACTGTGTTTCCTAGAATATAATAGAGTACTAGGCATATAGTGGGTATTCAGTAATTTTGTTTAAATGAATAAATAATAAAATAAATTCAAAGCTTTTTCACCTGTGTAACAAAATAATATTTTGAATTATTTCACTTTTTCTCCTTCACTATCTCTTCCTTTCTTCTTGTTTATAATTATCTTCTTTCTTTAAAGGGGCTGATGTGATAGGAAGAAAGCAGAAATATCATAGGCATGCCTAACTTGTTTCTAAGGTGGGGGAAAATACTGGAGAGTTATGTGGCTTTGAAGAATACAAAAGAAGTAAGAGGATAACAGGGCTTTCTCCCAGATGAGTGAATGACTATCTTGAGTAGTCATGGGCATAGATGGGTATAGTAATCTGAAGAAAGACTGAAGAAAATGTAGAAAAAAATGAAAAAAATCTCACAAAATGCAAACTATTAAAACTCAATCGACATGAAATAAACAATCTGAATAGTCCTGTAACTGTTAAAGAACTTGAATTTGTAACTGAATTGCTTCCAAAAAAAGTCTTCAAACACAGATAGTTTTACTGGAGAATTCTACCAAACATCTAAAAAATGAGTTAGCACCAATTTTACATATCTTCCAAAAAACAGAAGAGGATAAAATACTAACTAGTTTTATACTAACTAGTTTTATGAGATTGGTAGTACCCTGATACCAAAATCAGACCAAAAAACAGTATTAAAGCCAAAATACTATAGACCCTGGAGAATTCTACAAAACGTTTATAAAAGGAGTTAGCACCAATTTTACATATCTTACAAAAAATAGAAGAGGATAAAATACTAACTAGTTTTATGAGATTGGTAGTACCCTCATACCCAAACCAGACCAAAAAAATAGTATAAAGCCGAAAAACTATAGACCAATATTGCACATATAATTACACAGAGAAATCCTCAACAAACTATTAGCAAATAAAATCTAGCAATAGATAAAAAGCACTACATACCACAGCCAAAATATGAAATGCTCTTCAAACACTAAAGAATCAACTGGATGATGGTTCCAAGATGGCCGAAAAGGAAAAACTCCAGTCTACAGCTCCCAGTGTGAGTGACGCAGAAGACAGGTGATTTCTGCATTTCCAACTGAGGTACCGGGTTAATCTCACTGGGACTGCGTGGACAGTGGGTGCAGCCCATGAAGTGTGAGCCGAAGCAGGGTGGGGCATCACCTTACACAGGAAGCTCAAGGGGTCAGAGAATTCCCTTTCCTAGCCAAGGGAAGCAGTGACAGATGGTACCTTGAAAATTGGGACACTCCTGCCCTAATACTGCGCTTTTCCAATGGTCTTAGCAAATGGCACACCAGTACATTATATCCCACACCTGGCTCAGTGAGTTCCACACCCAAAGAGCCTTGCTCACTGCTAGCACAGCAGTCCCAGATCAAACTGCGAGGTGGCAGCGAGGCTGGGGGAGGGGCTTCCACCATTGCTGAGGCTTGACTAGGTAAACAAAGCTGCCAGGAAGCTCCAACTGGATGCAGCCCACCACAGCTCAATGAGGCCTGCCTGCCTCCATAGACTCCACCTCTGGGGGCAGGACATAGCTGAACAAAAGGCAGCAGAAACTTCTGCAGACTTAAATGTCCCTGTCTGACAGCTTTGAAAAGAGCAGTGGTTCTCCCACCATGGAGTTTGAGATCTGAGAATGGACAGACTGCCTCCTCAAGTGGGTCCCCGACCCCTCAGTAGTCTAAATGGGAAACACTTCCCAGAAGGGCCGACTGACACCTCATACAGCAGGTGCCCCTCTGAGACGAAGCTTACAGAGGAAGGATTAGGCAGCAACATTTGTCGTTCTGCAATATTTGCTGTTCTGCAGCCTCTACTGGTGATACCAAGGCAAACAGGGACTGGGGTGGACCTCCACTAAACTCCAACAGACCTGCAGCTATGGGTCCTGACTGTTAGAAGGAAAACCAACAAACAGAAAGAAAGAGCATCAGCATCAACAAAAAGGACATCCACACCAAAACCTCATCTATTGGTCACCATCATTAAAGACCAAAGGTAGGTAGATAAAACTACAAAGATGGGGAGAAACCAGAGCAGAAAAGCTGAAAATTTAAAAAACCAGAGCACCTCTTCTCCTCCAAAGATCGCAGCTCCTCGCAAGCAACGGAACAAAGATGGGCGGAGAATGACTTTGTCAAGTTGACAGAAGTAGGCTTCAGAAGATCAGTAATAACAAACTCCTCCGAGCTAAAGGAGGATGTTCAAACCCATCACAAAGAAGCTAAAAACCTTGAAAAAATGTTAGATGAATGGCTAACTAGAATAAACAGTGTAGAGAAGGCCTTAAATGACCTGATGGAGCTGAAACAATGGCATGAGAACTATGTGATGCATGCACAAGCTTCTGTAGATGATTCAATCAAGTGGAAAAAAGGGTATCAGTGATTGAAAACCAAATAAATGACATGAAGTGAGAAGAGAAGTTTAGAGAAAAAAAGAGTAAAAAGAAATGAACAAAGCCTCCAAGAAATATGGGACTTTGTGAAAAGACCAAATCTACGTCTGATTGGTGTACCTAAAAGTGATGGGGAGAATGGACCCAAGTTGGAAAACACTCTTCAGGATATTATCCAGGAGAACTTCCCCAATCTAGCAAGGCAGACCAACATTGAAATTCAGGAAATACAGAGAACGCCACAAAGATACTCCTCAAGAAGAGCAACCCCAAGACACATAATTGTCAGATTCACCAAAGTTGAAATGAAGGAAAAAATATTAAGGGCAGCCAGAGAGAAAGGTCAGGTTACCCACAAAGGGAAGCCCATCAGACTAACAGCAGACCTCTCAGCAGAAATTCTACAAGCCAGAAGAGAGTGGGGGCCAATATGCAACATTCTTAAAGAAAAGAATTTTCAACCCAGAATTTCATATCCAGCCAAACTAAGCTTCATAAGTGAAGGAGAAATGAAATCCTTTACAGACAAGCAAATGCTGACAGATTTTGTCACCACCAGGCCTGCCTTACAAGAGCTCCTGAAGGAAGCACTCAACATGGAAAGGAACAACCAGTACCAGCCACTACAAAAACATGCCAAATTGTAAAGACCATCGAGGCTAGGAAGAAACTGCATCAACTAACGAGCAAAATAATCAGCTAACATTATAATGACAGGATCAAATTCAAACATAACATAACAATATTAACCTTAAATGTAAATGGGCTAAATGCCCCAATTAACAGACAAAGATTGTCAAACTGGATAAAGAGTCAAGACCCATCAGTGTGCTGTATTCAGGAGATCCATCTCACGTGCAGAGACACACATAGGCTCAAAATAAAGGGATGGAGGAAGATCTACCAAGCAAAGGGAAAACAAAAAAAAAAAAAGGGGGGGTTGCATTTCTAGTCTCTGATAAAATGGACTTCAAACCAACAAAGATCAAAAGAGACAAAGAAGGGCATTACATAATGGTAAAGGGATCAATTCAACAAGAAGAGCTAACTATCCTAAATATATATGCACCCAATACAGGAGCACCCAGATTCATAAAGCAAGTTCTTACACACCTACAAAGAAACTAAAACTCTCACACGATAATAATGGGAGATTTTAACACCCCACTGTAAACATTAGACAGATCAATGAGACAGAAAGTTAACAAGGATATCCCGGACTTGAACTCAGCTCTGCACCAAGCGGACCTAATAGACATCTACAGAACTCTCCACCCCAAATCAACAGAATAAACATTCTTCTAAGCACCAAATCGCACTTATTCCAAAACTGACCACATAGCCGAAAGTATAGCACTCCTCAGCAAATGTAAAAGAACAGAAATCATAACAAACTGTCTCTCAGACCACAGTGCAATCAAATTAGAACTCAGGATTAAGAAACTCATTCAAAACTGCACAATTACGTGGAAACTGAACAACCTGCTCCTGAATGACTACTGGGTAAATCATGAAATGAAGGCAGAAATAAAGATGTTCTTTGAAACCAATGAGAAAAAAAAGACATAACATATCAGAATCACTGGGACACATTTAAAGCAGTGTGTAGAGGGAAATTTATAGCACTAAAAGCCTACAAGAGAAAGCAGGAAAGATCTAAAATTGACATCCTAACGTCACAATTAAAAGAACTAGAGAAGCAAGAGCAAACACATTCCAAAGCTAGCAGAAGGCAAGAAATAACTAAGATCAGAGCAGAGCTGAAGGAGATAGACACACAAAAAACCCTTCAAAAAATCAATGAATCCAGGAGCTGGCTTTTGAAATGATTAACAAAATAGGTAGACTGCTAGCAAGACTAATAAAGAAGAAAAGAAGAATCACATAGATGCAATAAAAAATGATAAAGGGGATATCACCACTGATCGCACAGTAATACAAACTACCATCAAAGAATACTATAAACACCTCTACACAAATAAACTAGAAAATCTAGAAGAAAATGATGAATTCCTGGACACATACACCCTCGCAAGACTAAACCAGGAAGAAGTTGAATCCCTGAATAGACTAAAAACAGCCTCTGAAATTGAGGCAATAATAGCCTACCAACCAAAAAAAGTCCAGGACTTCATGGATTCACAGCCAAACACTACCAGAGGTACAAAGAGAAGCTGGTACCATTCCTTCTGAAACTATTCCAATCAATAGAAAAAGAGGGAATCCTCCCTAACTCATGTTATGAGGCCAGCATCATCCTGACACCAAAGCCTGGCAGAGACACAACAAAAAAACAGAATTTTAGATCAATATCCCTGATAAACATCGATGCAAAAATCCTCAATAAAATACTGGCAAACCAAATCCAGCAGCACCTCCAAAAGCTTAGCCACCAAGATCAAATTTGCTTTATCCCTGGGATGCAAGGCTGGTTCAACATATGCAAATCAATAGACGTAACAGAACCAAAGATCAAAACCACATGATTGTTTCAATAGATGCAGAAAATACCTTCGACAAAATTCAACAACCTTCATGCTAAAAACTGTCAATAAACTAGGTATTGATGGAACGTATCTCAAAATAATAAGAGCTATTTATGACAAACCCATAGCCAATATCATACTGAATGGGCAAAAACTGGAAGCATTCCCTTTGAAAACTGGCACAAGACAAGGATGCCCTTCCACCACTCATATTCAACATACTGTTGAAAGTTCTGGCCAGGGAAATCAGGCAGGAGAAAGAAAGAAAGGGTATTCAATTAGGAAAAGAGGAAGTCAAACTGTCCCTGTTTGCAGATGACATGATTGTATATCTAGAAAACCCCATCATCTCAGCCCAAAATCTCCTTAAGCTGATAAGCAACTTCAGCAAAGTCTCAGGATACAAAATCAATGTACAAAAATCACAAGCATTCTTATACATCAATAACAGACAAACAGAGAGCAAAATAGTGAGTGAACTCTCATTCACAACTGCTTCAAAGAGAATAAAATACCTAGGAATCCAACTTATAAGGGATGTGAAAGACCTCTTCAAGGAGAACTACAAACCACTGCTCAACAAGATAAAAGAGGAAACAAACAAATGGAAGAACATTCCATGCTCATGGATAGGAAGAATCAATATCATGAAAATGGCCATACTGCCCAAGGTAATTTATAGATTCAATGCCATCCCCATCAAGCTACCAATGCCTTTCTTCACAGAATTGGAAAAAAACTACTTTAAAATTCATATGGAACCAAAAAAGAGCCCGCATAGCCAAGACAATCCTAAGCAAAAAGAACAACACTGGAGGCATAATGCTACCTGACTTCAAACTATACTACAAGCCTACAGTAACCAAAGCAGCATGTTACTGGTACCAAAACTGATCTATAGACCAATGGAACAGGACAGAGCCCTCAGAAATAATACCGCACACCTACAACCATCTGATCTTTGACAAACTTGACAAAAACAAGCAATGGGGAAAGGATTCCCTATTTAATAAATGGTGCTGGGAAAACTGGCTAGCCATATGTAGAAAGCTGAAACTGGATTCCTTCGTTACACCTTGTACAAAAATTAATTCAAGATGGATTAAAGATTCAAATGTTAGACCTAAAACCATAAAAACCCTAGAAGGAAACCTATACCATTCAGGACACAGGCATGGGCAAGAACTTCAGGACTAAAACACCAAAAGCAATCACAACAAGAGCCAAAATAGACAAATGTGATCTGATTAAACTAAAGAGCTTCTGCACAGCAAAAGAAACTACCATCAGAGTGAAAAGGCAACCTACAGAATGGAAGAAAATTTCTGTAATCAATCCATCTGACAAAGGACTACTATCCAGAATCTACAAAGAACTTAAACAAATTACAGGAAAAATCAAACAACCCCATCAAAAACTGGGCAAAGGATATGAACAGACACTTCTCAAAAGAAGACATTTATGCAGCCAACAGACACATGCAAAAAGGCTCATCATCACTGGCCATCAGAGAAATGCAAATAAAAACCACAATGAGATACCATCTTACACCAGTTAGAATGGCGATCATTAAAAAGTCGGGAAACAACAGATGCTGGAGAGGATGTGGAGAAATAGGAACACTTTTCCACTGTTGATGGGAGTGTAAACTACTTCAACCATTGTGGAAGAGAGTGTGGCAATTCCTCAAGGATCTAGAACTAGAAAAACCATTTGACCCAGCCATCCCATTACTGGGTATATACCCAAAAGATTATAAAACATGTTGCTATAAAGACACATGCACACGTATGTTTATTGTGGCACTATTCACAATAGCCAAGACTTGGAACCAACCAAAATGTCCAACAATGATAGACTGGATTAAGAAAATGTGGCACATATACACCATGGAATACTCTGCAGTCATAAAAAATGGATAAGTTCATGTCCTTTGTAGGCACATGGATGAAGCTGGAAACCATCATACTGAGCAAACTATCGCAAGGACAGAAAACCAAACACCGCATGTTCTCACTCATAGGTGGGAATTGAACAATGAGAGCACTTGGACACAGGGTGGGGAACATCACACACCAGGGCCTGTCGAGGGGTGGAGGCATGGGGGAGGGATAGCACTGGGAGAAGTGCCTAATGTAAATGACGAGTTAAGGGGTGCAGCACACCAACATGGCACATGTATACATATGTAGCATACCTGCCCATTGTGCAGATGTACCCTGGAACTTAGAGTATAATAAAAATTTAAAAAAAAAGAAATATGAAAACACATACACACAAATTTTTTTTCTAAGAACAAAATTCTAACAGGAACAGGAGGGGAGCTGGGCTGGCTCTAAAGTGTTCCCACCATAATGTGGAAAATACACACATGATGATATATTTGATTACTAAGATCCCATTAGGCCCATTTAGGCACTTTATGTATTTCCTTTGCTCTGGACGTTGAGTCGTTTTCTGCTCAGTTTGAAGCAACTGGCTTATTGTCTCAGAGTGGTTCTAGAACTTTGCTTTCAGGTGTGGCTGGGGAGGGAGCCCTGGCATTTCAAGACAGGTGGAGGTGATATGGTTGGACTCTGTGTTCCCACCCAAATCTCATGTTGAAATGTAACTCCCAATGCTGGAGATGGGCCTGGTGGGAGGTGACGAGGCCATGGAGGTGGCTTCTCATGGTCTAGCACCATCCCCCAGGTGCTGTCATCCCTGTTGTGAGTTCTTGTGAGATCTGGTTGTTTAAAAGTGTGTGGCACCTCTCCCCTTGCTCTCTTCCTCCTGCCCCAGCCATGTAAGATGTGCCAGCCTCTCCTGTGCCTTCTCCCATGATCATAAGTTTCCTGAGACCTCCCTAGAAGCAGAAGCCAGTATGCTTCCTGTATAGCCTGTGGAACCGTGAGCCAATAAAACGTTTTTCTTTATAAATTAAAAAAAAAAAAAGAATCAACCAACATAAGCCCCTGTGTCAATAGGCTAAAAAAGAAAAATCATATGATTATATCAATTGATGCAGAATAGCATTTGGTGCTTAATATAACGCCAATTCAAATAATAAAAATATCTCAGGAAACTAGAAATAAAGGAGACCTTTCTCTATTTGACAAAGAACGTATTTTTAAAAACCTATAGCAAACATTGTACGTAATGATGAAAGACTGGATGAGTTCTCTCTAAGATTGCAGACAGGGCAATGGTGTCCAATCACATCATTCCCTTACTAAAATAGCACTTGGATTTCTAACCATTTTTGTATAGCAGGAAAAAGAAATAAAATACATACAGGTTAAAAAGGAAGAAATAAAATTTTCTCTATTTGAAAATGACATTATTGTCTACATAGAAAATCCCAAGGAATGTGAAAACAATTTTCTATAACTCATAAATGCAGTCAGTAAAGTCAGAAGGTCAGAGGATATAAGAACACATTAGAAATCATTTACTTTTATATATTAATAATAAGCCTGTAGAAACAAAATTCTGAAACACCATATTGGAGGTAGAGCAAGATAGCAGACATGTAGGCTCCACCAATCATCCCCTACTGCAAGGGCACCAATTTAAGAACTATCTACATAGAAAAATCACCTTCATAAGAACCAAAAATCATATGAGCACTCATAGTCGCTGATTTAACTGTGTATGGCTGAAAGAGGCATGAAGAGATAAAGAGCCCTAAATGGTCAATGCCACCCTTCCCCTCTACACCCCACCCTCCCTACATCTCTGCAGCAGTAGTAAGGAGAGGAGAATGACTCTCAGTGCTGGGTGAGGGATAACACGGCAATTGTGAGGCATTGGACTCAGTAGTGTCCTGTTAGAGCAGAAGGTAAAACTGCATGAAACTCAGCTGATGCCCATCCACAGGGGAAACATTTAAACCAGCCCTAACAAGGCAGGAATCACCAATCCCAGTGACCCAAACTTCACCACCAAGGGATACAGTGCTCTGTGTCTCCAAATAAACTTAAAAGGCACTCTAGGCCATGAGGACTTGCCAACTCTTGGCAAGTCCTAGTGTTAAACTAGGTCCAGAGACAGTGGATTGGGAGGGCATGTGACTGACATACTGAGACAACAGCCGGGACAGCCAAGGTAATACTGGCATCATCCGTCCCATAACCCTAGGCTGCACAACTCATGGCTCCAAATGAGACCCCATCCTTCCACTTAAAGAGAGGAAAGTGGATACTTTGGACATCTTGGATACCAGCTTAGTCACAGCAAGATAAGTCATAGTCAGAGTCATGAGGACTCCGTTCCAGGCCCTAGCTCCAAAATGACATTTCTAGATAGACCCTGGGCCAGAAGGGAATCCACTGCTTTGAAGAAAAGGACCCAGTCCTTGCAGAGTTCATAACCTGCTAACTGAAGAGCCCTTGGGCCCTGAGTAACCAGTAGCAATACCCAGGAACTATGTTGAGGGCATTGGGTGAGATGTTGAGACATGGTGGCTTCAGGTGAGACTCAGTACTTTACCAGCTGTGTTGGCTACATGGCAAAACTCTTTCTACTGGAGAAAAGCAGAGGGAAAAGTAAAAGGAAGACCAAGTCTTGTATCTTAAGTATCAGCATTGCCACATGGGTGTAGAGCACCAAGCAGGCTCCTGGAGTCCCCAGCTCCAGGACTTGACTCTTGGATGGCACTATGGACCTGCTGTGGGCCAGAGGGGAGCCTATTGCCCTGAAGCATGAATCCTAGGCCATCCAGCATTCACCATAAGCTGATATAAGAGTCCTTGGGCCTTAAGGGAATATCAGTGGTAGTCTGACCGTACTCCTTGTGGCCTGGAGTGGTGGTGGCTACTGGGTGAGGCTCGTTTGTCTTTGGAAAGGGAAGGGAAGAGTGGGAAGGATTGCATCTTGTGGTTTGATTGCCAGCTCAGCCACAGTAAAATAGAACACCAGGTAGACTTCTAAGGTTTTTAACTCTAGTCCTAACTCCCTGATGGCACCTCTGGATCTACCTGAGGCCCAGGAGACCTCACTGACCTGAAAAGAAAAAGACATAGGCCTGGCTGGCTTTGCCAATGGCTGAGAGATACAGAGGCCTGGGACAAGACCCAGTGCTGTGCTGGCTTCAGTTCTGACCAAGTGCAGTCATAGTGGTAGGGGCCACAGGGGTGCTTGTATTACTCTACCCCCAGCTTCAGGACAGAGAGAATCTTTTTTTTTTAGAAAGTAAGGGAAGATAACAAGAGTCTCTGCCTGGTAATCCAGAGAATTCTCTCAGATCTTGTCCATGACCATCAAGGCTTAATATGCAGATACTAACAACCCCTATGACTATGCAGGAACCACTGCATTTACTGGGCTTGGGATACACCCTATAGCAGATACAGGTTAGATCACAACACCCAAGTCCTTTCAAATACCCGAAAGTCTTCCAGAGAAGAATGGCTACAATAATCCCAGACAGTGGAGACTCTAACAAATACCTAACTCTTCAATGCCCAGACACCAAAGAACATTGTTAATATCAACACTATCCAGGAAAACATGACCTCAGTAAATGAACTAAAAATAGCAAAAGGACCAATCTTGGAGAACGGTCACACGTAACAGAGATACGTGACCTTTTAGACAGAGAATTTAAAATAGCTATGTTGAGAAAATTCAAAGAAATTCAAGATAACACAGATAAGGAATTCAGAATGCTACCCAATAAATTTATCAAAGAGATTGAAATAATTAAAAAGAAGCAGGAATCCTGGAGCTGAAAAATGTAACTGGCATACTGAAGAACACATTAGAGTTCTTTAATGGCAGAATCGATCAAGCTGGAGGAAGAATTAGCTCTAAGACAGGCTATTTGAAAATACACAGTCAGAGGAGGCAAAAGAATAAAAAACAATATATTGCCTATAGGATCTAGAAAATAGCCTCCAATGGGTAAATCTAAGAGTTATTGTCCTTAAAAGAAGGTAGAGAAAAAGGTATGGGTAGAACATTTATTCAAAAGGACAATAACAGAGAAGTTCTCAAGCCTAAAGAAAGATATCAATATCCAAGTACAAGAAGGTTATACAACACCAAGCAGATTCAACCCAAAGAAGGGTTAAACTCTCAAGGCATTTAGTTATCAAACTCTCAAAAGTCAATGATAAAGAAAGGATTCTAAAAGCAGCCAGAGAAAATAAACAAAAAGAGCTCCAACAGGTCTGGCAGCCAACTCTTTCAGTGGAAACTTACAGGCTGGGAGAGAGTGGTATGACATATCTCAAGTGCTGAAGCAAAAAAATGGTTACCCTAGAATAGCATATTTAGCAGAAATATCTTTTGAATATGAAGAAGAAATAAAAACTTCCCCAGACAAACTAAAGCCGAGGGATTTCATCAACATCAGCTCTGTCTTAGAAGAAATGCTAAAGGAATTATTTTGACCACAAAGAAAAGGACATTAATTAGCAGTAAGAAATCATCTAAAGGTATACAACTCACTGGCCATAGTAAGTAAACAGAAAAACACAGAATATTATAACACTGTAACAGTGGTGTGTTAACTACTCTTATCCTAAATAGACTAAATTATAAAGCATCCAAAAATAATAACTACACTTTGGGAGGCCGAGGCGGGCGGATCACGAGGTCAGGAGATCGAGACCATCCCGGCTAAAACAGTGAGACCCCGTCTCTACTAAAAATACAAAAAATTAGCCGGGCGTAGTGGCGGGCGCCTGTAGTCCCAGCTGCTCTGGAGGCTGAGGCAGGAGAATGGCGTGAACCCGGGAGGCGGAGCTTGCAGTGAGCCGAGATCCCGCCACTGCACTCCAGCCTGGGCGACAGAGCGAGACTCCGTCTCAAAAAATAAAAATAAAAAAAATAATAATAATAATAACTACAGCAACTTTTCCAAGACATAGTCAGTACACTAAGGAATAAACAGAAAAAAAAAACCCAAAAATTTAGTAAGGAGAAAAAGCCAAGGCTTAGAGTTTTGAGTAGTTTTCTTCGTATCAGTGTTAAGTTCTTATCAGATTAAAATAATGGGTTATAAAATAGTATTTGCAAGCCTCATGGTAATCTCAAACCAAATATGTACAATAGATACACAAAAACTAAAAAACAAGAAACGAAGTCATATCACTGGAGAAAATCACCTTCACTAAAGGAAGACAGGAAGAAAAGTAGGAAGGAAGAGATCACAAAACAACCAGAAAAAGAAAATGGACTAAATTATCCAATCAAAAGACAGTGACTGGCTGAATAAATGAAAAAACAGGACCCAATGATCTATTGCCTCCAAGAAACACACTTGACCTATAAAGATACACACAGACTGAAAAGAAAGGTATGGAAAAAGATATTCCATGCCAATAAAAACCAAAAAAGTGCAGGAGTTGCTATACTCATATCAGACAAAATAGATTTCAAGACAAAAACTATAAGAAGCTACAAAGAAGGTCATATATAATGACAAAGGTATCGATTCAGCAAGAGGATATAACAATTTTAAATAGATCTGCACCCAACACTGGGACATCCAAATATATAGAGGAAACATTATTATAACTAAAAAGAGTAATATGTCCAAATACGATAACTGGAAACTTTAACACCCCACTTTCAGCATTGGACCTATCCTCGAGACAGAAAATAAAGAAGCATCTGACTTATTCTGCACTACAGACCAAATGGATATAACAGATATTTATAGAACATTTCATAAAATGGCTACAAAATACATATTCTTTTCCTCAGCATGTGGATCATTATCAGGGATAGACTATATGTTAGGTCACAAAACAAGTCTGAAAACATTTAAAAAAATGGAAATAATGTCAAGCATATTCCCATACCACAATAAAACTAGAAATTAATAATAAGAGGAATTTTGCGAACTATACAAATACCTAGAAATTAAACCATGTGCTCCTCAATGATCAGTGTGTCAATAAAGAAATTAAGAAGGAAATGGAAAAATTTCTTGAAACAAATGATAACCTAAACACAACATACCAAAACCTATGGGATACAGCAAAAATAGTACTCAGAGGGACCATTATAGATATAAGTGCCTTTATCAAAAAAGAGGAAAGCCTTCAAATAAACAGTCTAACAATGCATCTTAAAGAACTAGGAATGCATGTGGAAACCAAACCCAAAATTAGTAGAAGAAACAATAAAATATTAGAGCAGAGATAAATGAAATTGAATTTTTTTAAAAAGTACAAAATATCAATAAAACAAAAAGTTGGCTTTTAAAAAAGTTAAAGAAATTGACAAACCTTTAGCCAAACTAAGAAAAAAAGATACAAATAAATAAAATCAGAAACAAAAAAGGAGTCATTACAACTGACACTGCCAAAACGTCATTAGTAGTTACTATGAGCAACTATATGACAACAAATTGGAAAATCTAGAAGAAATGGACAAATTTCTAGACACATACCATCTCCAGAGACTGAGCCAAGAAGAGATCCAAAACCTGAACAGACCAATAAGAAGTACAAGATCAAAGGCATAATAAAAAAAAATCTACCAGTAAAGAAAAGCCTGGGACCCGATGGCTTCACTGCTGAATCCAACCAAATAAACATTTAAAGAGGAATGAATACCAATCTTACTCAAACTATTCCAGGAAATGGAAGAAGAGGAAATACTTCCAAACTCATTCTATACAATCAGTATTACCTTGATATCAAAACCAGACAAAGACACATCAAAAAAAGAAAACTACAGGCCAAAATCTGATGAATATTGATGCAAAAATCTTCCATAAAATACTAGCAAACTGAATTCAACAATGCATTAGAAAAATCATTCATCATGACCAAGTGGGTTTACCTCTGGGATGCAAGGATAGTTCAACATGCACAAACCAATCGATGTGGTACATCAAGTCAACAGAATGAAGGATAAAAACCACATGATCCTATCAATAGATGCTAAAAAATAATTCAAAAAATTCCACATCTCTTCATGATAAAAACCCCCAAAAACCTGGGTATAGAAGGAACATACCTCAACATAACAAAAGTTCTATATAAGACACCCACAGCTAGTATCATAGTGAGTGGGGAAAAACTGAAAGCCTTTCCTCTGAGATCTGGAACACAACAATGATGCCAATTTTCACCACTGTTATTCACCATAGTACTGGAAGTACTAGCTAGAGCCATCAGACCAGAGAAAGATTTGAGCATCCAAATTGAAAACGAACAAGTCAAATTATCCTTGTTTGCAGATTATATGATCTTATACTAAGAAAAACCTCAAGATTCCCCCCAAAATGATTAGAACTGATAAATTTATGGAATTTGCAGGACACAAAATCAACATACGAAATTCAGTAGCATTTCTATATGCCAACAGTGAACAATCTGAAAAAGAAATAAAATTCATCCCATTTACAATAGCACACATAAAATTAATTACCTAGGAATTAACCAATGGAGTGAAAAATGTCAGTGATGGAAACTATAAAACACTGGTGAAAGAAATTGAAAGGAACGCCAAAAAATGAAAATAAATAGTTCATGTATATGGATCGGAAGAATCAATGTTGTTAAAAAGTTCATACCACCCAAAGCTATCTACAGACTCAGTGCAATCCCTATCAAAATACCAGTGACTTTCTTCATAGGAAAAAAAAAAAAAACACAATCCTAAACTTTATATGAAACCACAAGAAAATCCAGGATAGCTAAAGTTATCCTAATCAAAAAGAATGAAACTGGAGTAATACATCACCTGACTTCAGATTATACTGTGGAGCTACAGCAACAAAAGTAGCATGGTATTCTCATAAAAACAGACACATAGACAAATAAAACATAATAAACAACCCAGAAACAAATCCACACACTACAGTGAACTCATTTTCAACAAAGGTGCCAAGAACATACAATGGAGAAAAGACAGTCTATCAATAAATGGCATTGGGATAACTGGATATCCATACACCAAAGAATGAGACTAGACCCCTATCTCTTGCCATATACAATAAACAAATCAAAATGGATTAAAGACTTAACTCTAAGACATAGATCTATGAAACTACTACAAGAAAACAACGAGTAAACTATCCAAGACATTGGTCTGGGCAAAAATTTCTTGAGCAATACCTGACAAGCACAGACAACCACGGCAAGAATGGACAAATAGGATCAAATCAAGTTAAAAAGCTTTTGCTGTTATGATCAACAAAGTGAGTCACCAAAGTGAAGAGAAAACCCACAAACTGGGAGAAAATATTTGCAAACTACCCATCTGACAAGGGATTAATAACCAGAATACATAAGGAGCTCAAACAACTCTATAGGAAAATGTCTAAAAATTCAATCAAAAAATGGGCAAAAGAATAGATATTTCTCAAAAGAAAACACACACATGGCAAACAGGCATACAAAAAATGCTCAACATGGATTATGAGAAAAGCAAATCAAATCTACAAGGAGATGTCATCTTACCTGTTAAAATGGCTTTCATATCCAAAGGACAGGCAATAATAAATGCTGGTGAGGATGCAGAGAAAAGGGAACCCTTGTATACTATTGGAGGGAATGTAAATTAGTAAAACCACTATGGAGAACAGTTTGGAGCCTCCTCAGAAAACAAAAAAAATTGAGCTACCATATGATCCAGCAATCCTACTGCTGGGTGTACACACAAAAGAAGAGAAAACGGTGTATCAAAGAGATATCTACATGCCTGTGTTTGTTGCAGCATTGTTTACAATAGTCAAGATTTGGAAACAACCTAAGTGTCCATCAACAGATGAATGGATAAAGAAAATGTGGTCCATATACATAATGGAGTACTGTTTTGCCATAAAAAAGAATGAAATCCAGTCACTTGCATCAACGTGGATGGAACTGGAGATCACTGTGTTAAGTGAACTAAGCCAGGCACAGAAAGACAAACATCACATGTTCTCACTTATTTGTGGGACCTAAAAATCACAACAATTGTACTCATGAACATAGTAAAACGATGATTACCAGACGCTGGGAATGGTAGTGGGGATGCGTCAGGTGAGGTGGGAATGGTTATTGAGTACAAAAAATAGTAAGAAAAAATGAATAAGACCTGTTTGATAGCACAATAGGGTGACTATAGTCAATAATAACTTAATTGCACATTTTAAAATGTATCTTAAAGAGTATAATTGAATTATAACTCAAAGGATAAATCCTTGAGGGCATGAATACTCCATTCTCCATGATGTAATTATTTCACATTGCATTCTTGCATCGACATCTCATGTACCCCATAAATATATATGCATACTATATGCCAAAGAAATTAAAAATTAAAAAATTAAACCATACTATTTATAATCACTTCAAAGCCAAATTAAAAATTTATCAGAACATTTACAGATAATTTATGCTGAAGTTTAAAAATGATTCCTGAAAGATACCAAAAAAAAACTAAGTAAGTGAAAAGACATAACATTTTTATAGATCAGAGGATTCAATATAGTAAAAATGACAATTCTCCTAAAATTTTTACACATGTTTAAGGCAATTAAAGCAAGAGTATTATGAAGAATATAAATACATATTCTAAAGTCAATATATAAGAATAGAAACACATATTCTAAAATCAATACATAAAGACCCAAGCCCAAGAATAACAATAATAATATTGAAATAAAGAATACAGTTGGAGGAATCACTTTACCTAATGTAAAGGTCTATTATGTGGCTACAGTAATCAGCTGTGATATTGTCAGAAAGACAGATATTCTGATTCATAGAATGCAATAGAGAAGTCAGAAATACACACCAATTTACCTAACAGACTTTTGACAAGTGTGTAAAAAGAAATAATGGAGGAAGAAAAAGCTTGGAACAATGGCATACACAACAGAAAAAAGCAAAAAGATTGACTTAAAACTCACATTTTGTACAAAAATCAACCAAAAATATATCATAGACTTTAATGTAAAATATAAAACTATAAAAATTTAGGGAAAAATGTAGAAAATATTGCTATGTAGAGTTAGGCACATAGTTCTTATATTTTACACCAAAAGCACAATTCATTTAAAAAAATAGGCATTGGATCTCAAAAATATTAAAAATTTGTCTCATGAAAGACTTGACTAATAGAATAAGAAAACAAGCTATGAGAGTAGGATAAAATATTTGCAAACTTATATATATATCCTATAGAGGACTGTTACCTAGAATATGGAAAGAACCTCAAAACCATAACAAAAAAAACTCACAAAGAATTCAATTAGCAAATGGGCAAAAGATGTCTAGACATTTTACTAAACTGAATATATGGCTGGCAAATAAACACATAAAAAGGTGTTCAATGTCATGAGCTATTAAGGAAATGCAAACTAAAAGCACAATGAGTTAGGCAAGGTGACAAATACTTGTGGTCCCAACTATATGGGTGGATGAGCTGGGAGGATCGCTTGAGCCCAGAAGTTCAAGACCAGCCTCAGCTACATAGCAAGATCCTGTCTCTTAAAGCACAATGAAATATCACTACACAGCTGTTATCATATGACAACACCAGACTGGAGAGGATGTGAAGAAATTGAATTCTTGCAGGAAAGGATATGAAGTGTTATAATCATTCTGCAAAAAAAGTTTATAAAACAAAACTTGCATCCACCATATGGCCCAGCAAACACACCCCTAGATATTTATCTCAGATAAAGAAAAAAAATTGTTCACACAAAAACTTGTACACAGGGTTCATAGTAGCATTGGTCATAATAGCCAAAACCTAGAAACAACTCAGATGTTCCTCAATGGATGAATAATTAAATAAACTGTGATACATTCATACTATAGGTTACCAATTAGAAATAAGAATGAAACTATTGATATATACGACAACTTGGATGAATCTCCAGGAAATTATGCTGAGTGAAAAAGAAAATCCGGAAAGGTAAGTAAATACCATATGATTCTGAATATAACATTCTTAAACCATCAAAACTGTAGAAATGAAGAACAAATAAGTGATTGTCGGGGGTTAACGTGAGGGTGGAGGAAAAGGAGTGAGGTTTCAAAAAGACAAGGGATGCCCACAGTGATGGAACTGTTCTGTGTCTTAACTGGATCAATGTCAGCATCCTAGTTGTAATATGGTATTACAGTTTTATAAGATGTTACCATTGAGAAAAACTAGGTGAATGTTGCAGATTCTCTCTGTATTATTTGTTACAACTGTATGTACACTGATAACTGTCTCAAAATAAAAGTTTATAATCAGTGTTTAGGTAGTAATTTCCCCCATAAACTCAGGATTTGGGGACTTCAATCTGAACACGAACCTCGGTCTGTAAGCCTATTCAAAACTTCTTCCAGGGGAAAGTTTTGACTTTGTCAAAGAGTGAGCTCCAGCCTACCTCTGAATACCAGTGCAAGGCTTAGAGGAATCAGTTACCTAACCTGGTCAGAGTAATTGGGAGTGCGATTCTATTGCAGCAATGAAATGATACATCCCATAGAGTAAAGTGACCATAGGTTTCATACTGTCACTGAGAAGAACAAAGAGAGAAATAAAATGGACCCAAACTTTAGGATTCTCTTTCATTTAATACCACAAAAGGCCTGTGTTTCAGCCACAGGCAGGTACTACAGTCTTCCATTGTTTGGAATTCAGCTACTATAAACCCCCTACCAAGCCAACTGATACTCAAGGGAAAGAGGCTAAGGACCACATAGCCATTGATGTGTCTAGAATCTCAGAGATCTAGCATGATATCATATGCTGAAATCCTAACCCTCAATGTGATTGAGTTTGAAGATGGCATATTGAGAGACAATTAGGTTTAGATGAGGTCATGAGGATGGGGTCCTCTTGATGAGATTAGTGCCCTTATGAGAAGAAGAGACACCAGGTCGGTCAGTCTGTCTGTCTCTCTCTCTCTCTCTCTCTCACACACACACACACAGACACACACACACACACACACATATATATGAAGACACAGCAACAAGGCAGCTGTCTGCAAGCTAGTAAGGAGTCTTTATCAGAGCCTGACCATGTTGGCACCCTGATCTCGAACTTCTAGCCTCTAGAATTGTAAGAGAATAAATTTCTGGCCGGGCCCGGTGGCTCATGCCTGTAATCCCAGCATTATGGGAGGCCGAGGCGGGTGGATCATGAGGTCAGGAGATCGAGACCATCCTGGCTAACACGCTGAAACCCTGTCTGCACTAAAAATACAAAAAATTAGCCAGGCGTGGTGGTGGTCGCCTGTAGTCCCAGCTAGCAGGAGGCTGAGGCAGGAGAATGGCATGAACCCAGGAGGCAGAGGGTGCAGTGAGCCGAGATCGTGCCACTGCACTCCAGCCTGAGCGACATAGCAAGACTCTGTTTCAAAAATAAACAAACAGCAACAACAAAAAAAAACCGCAGAAAATAAGTTTCTGTTGTTTAAGCCACTCAGTTCATGGTATTTTGTTATGGGACCCTAAGCTGATCGAGACACATGTGAGTAATTCTTTTGTATTCTGAAACATGTTACCCGTGGTTTATTAATAATTTTGTTGCAAATTTTATTTTTGTTTGAAACAATTTTAAACCTAAAGAAAAGTCATGTGCATAATTTTTAAAAATTGTTGTATATTCTTTGGGACCTCATTCAAACTTTGCTAAATCTGATTGGCTTTAAAACATGTCTACAAGTTCTTTAGCGCTCCTTTTATAAAATGGTAGAGGCTGTTTCAGAAAATTTGGTACAGCTTCCTCCTCTCTCCCTCTTTGAAGGCTTACTCTTCTAATACAGGCACCATGAATTAAGGAAACGGAGGTACATGGATGGGCCACATGTAGGTGTTCTGACAGGTAGTCCTATCTAAGGTCTCTGATGACAACTATGATCAGCTTCCAGGCATGGGGGTGAGCCAGTCTTCAAATGATACCAGCCCTCAAATTCTGAGCTGTCTCAGCTGTCGCCCAGTGGAGCAGGTATCAGCTACCTCCACTGAAGGCCGTTGAAATTGCAGGTTGCGAGCAAAATAAATGCCATCAACTGATTTACAGCCACTCTGTTTTGGAGTAGTTTGCTACAGAGAAATAGATAACTAGAAAACCATCTGTTCCAGTAACGCACTCTGTAGACAATGAATCCAATCTAGAATCACGTGGTATACACAGCTGGCAAATGTCCAGTTTCCTTCAACAGTTTCTCAATTTTTCCTTGATTCCTGACCTTAATATCTTCCAAAATGTTTCTCAATTTCAGATTGTGCTAAATCTCTTCAAGTTAATGCTCAAGTTATGCGTTTTTGTCTGATATAATATAGAAGTTTTTTTTCTTCCTTTAACGTCTTATCAGATGTTGCCTGATGTCTCTTTGGCCCATGACTGGTGGTAGTTACTTTCACTAGTTGACTAAGACTGTGACAGCCAGAGGTTCCCACTGGAGTTACTTTTCCCTCTATTAAAATTAATGTTTTAAAAATGTGCTTGGAATATATGAAAAAAATCATGTCTCATATCATTTTCTCCCGTTAGTCTCATCATCCATTGATAATTTTGCCTGAGATAAATACTACTCAGATCATTGTGAAATGGTGCTTTTCTAATCCTATGATTTCTTGTACATTTTTAGTTGGCATTCTATAGTAAAAATGATATTTATTCATTTATAATATGGATTCAAAGATTTTTATTTTATTCAATCAAACGTATTGTCATTATATATGTAAAATATATATTATATATTTATATATACAAAGGCATATATCTAAATATACAGTCATGTGTTGCTTAACAGAGTGATATTCTGAGAAATGCATCATTTGGTGATTTCGCCATTGTGCAAACATCACAGAGTGTATTTACCAAAAACCTGACAAACCTAGGCTAAGTGGTATAGCCTACTGCTCCTAAGCTACAAACCTGTACAGCATGTTACTCTACTGAATACTATAGTCAGCTGTAACACAATGTTAAGTATTCGTATATCTAAACACAGAAAAGGTACAGTAAAAATAATGATATAAAAGATTAAATAATGGTACACCCCTATAGGGCACTTCTAGTCCTGAAGCTTGCAGGACGAGAAGTTGCTCTGGATGAGTCGGTGAGTGGTGAGTGAATGTGAAGGCCTGGAACTTTACTGTCCACTACTGTACACTTTATAAACACTGTGCATAGAGGCGACGCTGAATTTATTTAAAAATATTTTTCTTGGCCACTCACAGTGTCTGATGCCTGTAATCCTGGCACTTTGGGAGGCCGATCACTAGGTCAGGAGATGGAGACCATCCTGGCTAACACAGTGAAATCCTGTCTCTACTAAAAATATAAAAAAGTTAGCCGGGCGTGGTGGTGGTCGCCTTGTAGTCCCAGCTACTCAGGAGGCTGAGGCGGGAGAATGGCATGAACCCAGGAGGTGGAGGTTGCAGTGAGCAGAGATCATGCCACTTCACTCCAGCCTGGGTGACGGAGTGAGACTCCATCTCAGAAAAAAACAAAAACAAAAACAAAAACAAAAAAGTTCTTTCTTTCTTCAACAATAACCTTAACTTACTGTAACATTTTAATATTATGTAATTTTTAAAAACTTTTTGACTCTTTTGCAAACACTTGGTTTAAAGCACAACCATGTATAGCTGTACAAAACTAAACTATTTCTTTCTTTCTGAATAATATTATTCAAAACTATTTTCTTTCTTTATACTCTTATTCTATAAGCTTTTCCCTATTTAAAGTTTTTCTAAAAAACATTTTTGCTAAACACCAAGAAAATACCCGTAGCCCAGGTCTACAAAGAATCAAGTTCATCAATATCACTGTCTTCCAGCTCCACATCTTGTCCCACTTGAAGGTCTTCAGAGACAATAACACAGATGAAGCTGTCATCCCCTATGATAAAAATGCGTTCTTCTGAAATACCTCCTGAAGGACCTGCCTGAGGATGTTCTCCAGTTAACTTTTTTTATAAGTAGAAAGAGTATAATCTAAAATAATGATAAAAAACTACAGTATACTATAGTAAATACATAAATCAGTAACAGTATTTACTGTGATCAAGTATTATGTACTGTGCATAACTGTATGTGCTATAGTTTTCTATGACTGGCTGCAAAGTAGGTTTGTTTACATTGGCATCATGACAAACATATAAGTAGTATGTTGTGCTCTGACCTTAGGATGCTTATGACATCACTAGGTGATAAGAAATTTTATCTCCATCATAACCTCCTGGGACCACCAATGTATATGTGGTCCTTCATTGGCTGAACATTATATAGCACATAATTTTATATATATATAAAATGTATATACATATTATATTTAATATACAATATTATATGTTATATACATATATATGCCTCTGTGTGTGTGTGTGTGTGTGTGTGTGTGAGTGTGTGTGTGTGTGTGTGTGTGTGTGTATGCTCAGCCCATAGAAGCATCTCCCAACTGGCTCATATGTCTTTTTGACATGTCCCCATCATTGAGCATTTTTCTTACTCTCTAACACAGGAGACTTAAGTGTTTGGTATTTGATAATACTATTTTTACCAAGTGATAATTTTAAATAACATTACTGTTATTTATTTGTTAGTTGTAAAATAAGTACTTGTGCAGAAAAATAAAAAAAAAACATGGTCAGTAGATTAAAAAAGAAGAATGTTGAAAGTACAGGAAATGTGAATTGTATATTCACTATAAGAAATATAAAATAGTACTTCTTACTAGGTATCTGGAAATAGTTGATGCTTCTAGAGAAAATGTAAAAAGAGGGATAGAAGAAGGTGGGTAAGTAATACTAGTTATATCCCCATAATACAGTAGCTCAAATTATATAAAGTTTATTTTCTCTCACAGAACACTGAAGACATAGACATATGAATAGTCTGATTTCCTATAGATCATGATGTTAAAAACACACATTACTGGCCAGGCACGGTAGCTCATGCCTGTAATCCCAGAACTTTGGGAGGCCAAGGTAGGCAGATCACTTGAGGCCGGGAGTTTGAGACCAGCCTGGCCAACATGGTGAAACCCCCGTCTCTACTAAAACTACAAAAATTATCCAGGGTGCTGGTAATTGTGCCAAAATTGTTCCAGCTTTGGTCCTAAGTTATTTTCACATGTCTTTTTTTTTTTCCTCATCAAAACCCTATGTGGTAAGTGCTTCTTATAATGGTCCTTTAATAGAAGAAAAAACAAGCCTAGAGAGATTCATACTTTGTACAGTACAGTAGGCAGAATAACCTCTTTTGTCCTGCCAAAGATTTTCATACTTTAGATTCTAGAGACTGTGAATATATTATTCTACACAGCAAAAGAGATTTTGCAGATGTAATTTAGGCTCCTAATAAATTGACCTTAAAATAGGAAGTTTATCCTGGATTAGCCAGGTATCCGGGTAATGCGATCTCCACAGAGCAACCTGGCAATGTATTCCCAACAGCTATAAAAGCTGACTAGATGGTGCCCACCTAGATTGAGGGTTAGTCTGCCTCTCCCAGTCCACCGACTCAAATGTCAATCCCTTTAGCAACCACCCTCACAGACACAGCCAGGAACAATACCTTGCATCCTTCAATCCAATCAAGTTGACAATATTCACTATCACAGTGGAGAAATTCAAGCCATGAGAGGAATTTGACTTACTGTTACTGGAGGCTAGATATTTGGAAACCATGAGAAGTCCGCATGAGCAGCCAGCAGTGCAAATACCAGGCCCTGAATGATGGCCAGCAAGGAGACAAAGTAACTACGACCAAGTCTTGCATACCATATTCTATATATATATAGTTTTCTATGTTTGCTTGTTTTGAGATGGAGTCTCAATCTGTTGCCCAGGCTGCAGTGCAGTGTCAGGATCTTGGCTCACTGCAACCTCTGCCTCCTGGGTTCAAATGATCCTCCTGCCTCAGCCTCTCGAGTAGCTGGGACTACAGGTGCCCACCAGCACACTGGCTAATTTTTGTAGTTTTAGCAGAGATGGGGGTTTCACCATGTTGGCCAGGCTGGTCTCAAACTTCTGACCTCAAATGATCTGCCCTCCTTGGCCTCCCAAAGTGCTGGGATTACAGGCATGAGCCACTGCGCCTGGCCAGTAATGTATTTTTTTAATATCATGATATATAGGAAATCAGACTATTCATTGATACATGGCAGGATAAATTATGAGATTTTGTGGGTCTAAGACCTAAAGCTATAAGAGACACTTTAAACATCAAATGGACAATTTTAAAACCTCTACAGAGAGAAGTGAGTTGATATAACCACTTTTTTGGTGGCTGCAGGTGGAGGCAGGGGAATGAACTGTCCTCTTTTATGACTGTTCTCCCATTTCACCTGTTATTTAATTATATTTTCAAGAAGTTTTGCTTTCACAAAACTATATGAAATATTTAAAGCTTAAAAAAATAAATCATGAAGAGGACCGTTGGTAAGGTGCTTAGAGGAAACAGCTTATTTTGTGAAGATGGCATTCTTTATTATTTATACACTTCAAAACCTGAAATCAGGATTCACCTGGAGACTTAAGGGGAAGGTGGGGTGGTACTAATATTTAGTGTCTTGGGAATTTTTATTTTCAGTAAGTTCAAAAAGCAACTAGAAAACTGAGTTGAGTGACTGATCCAGGTCTACAAACTTTAAAGTTTCAGCAGAGAAAATGAAGTGATTGCACGTTCCTTTTCTCAGCACCTAATCTAATCACATTTCTTCATGGGTTGTTTGAACAAAGCGGCTCCATCCTGCTGCCGGAGTGTTACCGCATTCTTGGCATTTGGACAGTGAAGAGGAACAATGGCCTATCTAATAGAAAGGTTGAGTCCAAAGCTGACCCCATCGCAGTGTGCCAATTTAATAGACAAGAACAAGGATGTAGAAGATGAACTAATAAAAACAAACCAGAAGATATTGATTGGAACCCAGAAGCATGGTGTTTAATTTAAAAGACAGCTCTTCAGAAAGTCCTTTCTTCTGTTGTCAAACAGACATGGGAACTTGCCTAGACTTCCAAGCATTCAATTAGAACGGAGGCAAAGGACTGATAGTCTTGGCTTTCAAACAAACGCTAGGGCACTGGGTAGATGCAGAGTTGGATTTCACGATTCTTTCAGGTTTTTAGTTTTAATTGCTACTGTCTAAAAAAAAGCAGATATGCTTTCTTTTGATATATTTAACTGCTGTCCTCTTTTACATCATAGAAAAAAAACAGGTCTAGATCTAAGTCTAACTAATAGCTTTTAATTTACCATGAAACAATTCTACGGGGCTGATGTCTTTCACTTTTTAAAGCAGAGTGGCTTATTCGTGAAATTTGTTTTCTAAAGTTAATATACTATGTGGAATACGAATGAAACTGCAGATTGCAGTTGATTGATTCTGCCTGAAAGCATTAAATTTAAGAGACTTCCGTGTGTAAAGGTTTATTCCTTTTTTTGTTGTGTTGACTAGGTCTCAAAAGATAATTGAATTAAGTCATACCTTTGGCCAATAGTAGGGAATACAAAATAAAAATATAGTTTTCAATTGTGCATAGGTGAGCTAAAGTATAAAACTCCTATATATTCAGTGATACAGAGAGGACATGTTAAGGTCAAATAAGTATCATTATACTAAGATTTAAGCAAACTTCTCCTGGGCAAGACAAGTAATGTCAAGAGTGGAAAATTACAAACCTTAAGCATGTGATTGCTCTTTATGGTGATGGGGTATTGATAGATGGTGGTGTTCAGGTATGTGTTTACCATTTTACTTCTGTGTCCTCACACCCATGAGTATCTGAATGTATCAGGTAAATTCCTGCTGCTTTGTAGGTAGAGTGAACGTAAATATCATGAGCTACGCTAGGTCTGTGAATCATTATAGTCATAACTGACTTTGCCTCAGATATACAGACACATCCCTTGTCTAAATGAATCCATCCACTGAAGTCATCCTGAAAGACAAGTTCCTTTATAAAATGGCATTGCTCAAAAAATATAAAGCTGCAAGGCATCCATTTTAATTCCTATAAATATTGCTTAAATAGAAAACATTTGTGCCACAAATTTGAAATTCTAGAATAAACTTCACACATATCTGTCATCACATGTAACTTTGAAGTCCTGTCAGCACAGGTATCTAATTTATATGAAGCACCCTGGAGTCAATGTCTCTTTGTACTGTTATTTGTCAAATGATTCAAGCACTGCTTTAAAGTATATGTGAGGTTACTAGTCAATCTTAACGCTCTAAATCTGCATGCTATGCTACGCACATTTTTTTCCTCTAAGCACATGAAATTCTAAATTATATTTGCCTTTGATATTTTTATTTTTCTTTCTTTAAGGAATATCACGGGAAAGCATGAAGCTGTTATAAAGTTAATATCTGCTATTCTGGTAAGGAGTAAAGTCCTGGCAAGAATTAGTTTGTCTATGTGCCTATGTGTATGTTTGTGACTCTAGGGTGTGTAAGTGGTAAATGGGCTCTTCTAAGAGACACAGAAATGTGATTGGATAGTGAGGACAGTTCTAATCAAATGAAATATTCTCTAATTTACCATTTATTGATTACCAATATTCACCCTATTGTACATCTGCATCAGGTTAAAGGTCAACATTGTTTGCTATGGGCAATCTCATAGTTTGTGGGTGTTTCTTTCATTCTAAGTATTATGTTCCAACCTTTTACAATAATCTGCTTGTAATTTTATTATTTTATTAAGATCATCTGAAAGTATATGACATAGACTTCTAATTAAGTAGGGGTGTCTGAGATAATTGGAAAATATAGATCAATCGAGAACATTATAAAGAATAAATGCAATACTATGTGCATATATTTGAGACAGAGAAAGAAATGAAAAGAGAGAGCCAGTGTGAAACACATATATGTATATCTATACATACAGTCACATAAGTCACATGTACACATCACACACACATAGACACATTTTACACACACATGGGATGGGGAAGGAGAAGCAATAGGAGGAAGAAGGGAGAGAGAGAGAAAGATAAAGGGAGAGAGAATAGATAACTGCCTTAAGGCACTGAATTAAAAAGCAGAAAAACTTAGATTTTTCAGGAAGCACTTTCTTGCCAATTTGGGCTAAGGAAGCACTTAGTCCAAGCAACATTTCAAGGATGGCATCGGGGCTACTAAGCAAAAGCAGAAAATGAATGTGACCATCTGCCTTTACTTCGCTGGAACAATTATGAGACAGGCAAAGGTAATACAAATATCAGAAGAAGTGAAAATTCCATGAGATCGTAAAAGCTGCCAAGAACTCTAGAATCTCCCTTTACTTATGATTGTAAAGTACCCAATGAGAATATCGGAATATGGATTAAATAAATTTTTGATAAGTGTGTAATGTCCTAGAATTTATCTCAGGATTATGTTGGTCTCAAGAGTGATGACCAGTAAGCATTACCAGGGTTCAAAGATTATTAATGTTGCCCAGTTCCCCTGAAGGCATTTCTACCCTAAGGAACCTCACTTACTCACCAACAAGCAATTCAAATGTTAGTGCTCAGGGCCCTACAACTAATGTCCTTTCTGATTTGTCTGTGTTCTATGACAAACAGAACTCTCTTTCTCTCTCTTTGTCCCTGCTCTCCTAACTCAGGACTCAAGAAGGTCAATCTGTACCCTCCGTACGTGCCTCCTTTCCTAGCCTTCCCAAGAAGTCTTAAGAAAAATGGACATCAACCAGGTGAGTATTCATGGGGACCATCCTAAACACTCACCCAATGGTGGAGGCTCCACCCTCTCAGCAGAACTTGCTCCCAAGGGACAGGAGGGACAGGCGTAGGGGTAAGGGTGGTAGGATTTGATTCAGGCCAGGGGATACCCAGTGAGGGTTCCCATTCAATAATCCCTGTTGAATTTCATCACCATTTAATAACACATCTTTTTATTTTATTTTACTTTCGAGAGAGGGTCTGGCTCTGTCACTTGTGCTAGACTGCACTGGCATGATCTTGGCTCATTGCAGCCTTGACCTCCTGGGCTCAAGCCATCCTCCCACATCAGCCTCCTGAGTAGCTGGGACTATGGACACACACCTTCATGCCTGGTTAATTTTCAAAAATTTTGGTAGACACAAGGTCTCACTATATTGCCCAGGCTGGACTTGAACCAAGCGATTCTCTCACCTCTGTCTCCCAAAGTGCTGGGATTATAGGCATGAGCCACTATGTCCAGCCAATACACTTTTTTTAACTTTTAAGTTCAGGAGTACATGTGAAGGTTTGTTACAGAGGTAAACTTGTGTCGTGGGGGTTTATTGTACAGATTATTTTGTCACCCAGGTATTAAACCTAATACTTATTCGTTATTTTTCCTAATACTCTCCCTCCTCCCAACTTCCGCCCGCTTACAGGCTCCAGTGTGTGTTGTTCCCCTCTATGTGTCCATGTGTTCTCATCATTTATAGCTCCCACTTATAAATGAGAACATGTGGTGTTTGGCTTTCTATTCCTGCATTAGTTTAATACACCTTTCTTGAAATCAACACAGGCCCTCCTGTCTCTGACATTTGCAGTATCAATATTATCATCATTAATAAATATAAAGAGCCAACACAACCTCTTCATTATGTACTGAGCACATTCTCATCACACAACTACACACACATGCATTTAATTTGACCACTAAAGTTATTATCATTTCAATCATTCAGATGAGGGAAAATCAGAGGCATCTAGAGTTGAATATATGGAGAGGCAGAGGCAGGATTCAACCCAAACAACCCAAGAACAGAGTTGATGTTCTTCAATTGCCATGCTAACTGCCCTCACCTGACCCACAGGACTGTTTGACCCAAATTAATATGGATAGATACGCATGAGCTGTTTCCAAACTCAAGTTTGGGAAACATGAAGTCAAATATACTTTATTATTTTCTTCTTGTTTTTTAAAATGTAGACCTCCTTGGGTACTTTCAAGGGATTGTTAAATGTGTTATCAAAATAAAATTTGTCATGGTTGTGAATCAAGTAATTCAGAAGAGATTGTGCTTAAAATTGTCATCAAATTATTCCCCAATCCTGGTCCCACTTTTACCTTTTTTAAAATTTTAATTTCAGCTGGTGGTTGACTTTAGTGACCCCAATATTATAATAATGACTTTTAAATAATATGTGTATAGCATTAGTTTTTTATTTACATACTTTTGAGGATAATTATGAAAGCCATATAAAATTAATTTAGTTTACTTTTATTATAACTTCCCCCTTACTTAATTCTAAAGTTAAAATTTCCATTTTAGTTCCTTCGCACGTCTTTTATTTTAAAATAATACTCCCAAATTATTATTTGTTAGTCCCCTTTACTCAGAATTTGCATTTCATCTCCACCCCGCCCAGCCACATCATTTTCTTCCCCCTGCCTCCACCTGAGAGATGGCTTTACTTTTATGTCATTGAGGCTGCTAATATTTGCATTCTTTTCTACAACCACAACCAGTGCCTTCCATTTGAAGGCTACTTGAAGAACAAACGTTGTGATTATGTAAGACTCTACTTTAGGCATAGGAATCATCCATCTTATTAAGAAGCTCCTTGTGCAGTTGTATATTCTTTAAAGAAGTAAACAATTTTTCAAGACCTCCATCTACAGTACCTGTAACTTTCAGCTTTTCAGCCCCAATGGTAATCTCATCTTCATCTGCAGAAAACAGCACCCTGCCATCTTCACTGGCTCTCACTTCAAATCTTTTACACTGAGCTTCCACAGCATCAGCTCCTATGGTCAGAGGAAAGGTTTAAAAATGAAACTGGTATGCAGGAAACCATTAACATGTATTTTTTGGAAATAGACTAGAAATGCATATATTATTTAATTTGTTTATCTCTGCTGTATGTTTTGCATCTGAGTTAGTATCTTTAAATTGTCACCATTTTCAGGAGGCTAATTTGGGAATGTACTTCTGTGCTAGGCTGGTTAGGCATACAGGTGACCTCTGGATGTCTGACATAGCATGTGAGTTTAGCCAGTTAAGAGCCCTTCACATATCCACAAAAAGAGACAATGTTTGCTTTGTTCTCTGTTGCAGGCTGAAACCTTGGCATCATACCTGGCACCTGCTGGATGCTTAATAAGTACTTGTGGACTGAGTGACTCTCATGCCTTACCTCTGCAGTGTAGACAATAGTACCCATGCTTGCTACATCACGGAGGACTTGTTAAGCATTATTCAATTATGAATCTTTAGCTAGTCTACATGTCATAGATTCTAATATTGATGTTTTCTACCCTTTAATATAAGTGAATTTTAATCCATTTTATAGTACATCTTGAAATTATATATATAATTTCCTTAGTGGTACCTAATGTATCTTCCAATCAATAATTTTCCTGATTTATTGAAAAACGGTATTAAATAAATGTAATTACAAAACCAACTTACTGGCCAATTCTACACACTGATCTATACACAAAACTCAAAGCCAGCTTCCATATTTAGAAAACACAATTAGTTTGAGTATTAGGCTTTGGCAAGAAAATCTAACTGGGCCTTGAAGGTGAATGTTAACTGAGGAGGAAGAAATTTGAGATAATGGCCAGCAGTAATTCATCTTCCCATAATTCATATTATGTCCAAATTTCTTTGGACATAACACTTTTGGCATATGGATCTATAGTTCCCGCTCCTATTAAGATAGGAAACCTTCCTCCTCTTCTATTTATATTAAAAGCTCTTATCAGATAGAACCCAGCTGAGTCAGGGAAGTAGGAATCACACATGTGGGGCATAGTTCTTTTCATTTGTCTTTATGTATTCACTTTATTTATTAGATATATGACACCCAGGAGCTCAAAGCAGGACATCATCTTTGTATTCCAAAACATCCTTAAATTGGGAGATGTGTCGCTTCTAGTAGCACCAGTAGATGAATATTAAATAGATGAATGAATACTTAAGCTTTCATCCATTCATTGGTCCCTAACCCCACCTCAGCACTACTCCCAGTGCTAGCCAATAGGCTGCAAAAACTTACTCCTCCCCATCATCATAGCTGCTGAGGAGCATTCATCAAGAGAAAAAATAATTTAAAACCCTAATAACATGTAAGCTAATTTCTCCAAAAGCCATATGTATTTTTTTTAATATTCTGAAACTACATACATGCTTCCAGGACCACATAAAAATTTGAAAAGCTTCAACTAGGGCTATGCTAAGTAAGATTAAAACTAATGTTAAACTTTTGGGCTGTAAAGTTTAAAATAACAGATTTTTAAAAATAGAATTCATGCTTTTTAAAAATTTTTAAATAAATACCTTTCCTTATATAATTTAATGAAAATATGGAAACCATTGAAGACCTATTGTCCTTGGTCATAGTTGTTGCATTTGATCTTGAAAACATTATTTCGACAGCTTGTATTCATTTGAGTGTGATTTGTTCTAATCATAGTCTAATCTTATTTTGTGCCATAGACGACAATGAGCCATAGTAATCCAACTATTGGGTGATGTTCAAAAAACTGTGCCAGAGGCCAATGTGTTAATACATGTGACTTACTCTGAGGGACCCAGGCACACATTAACCCTGAACTGCCTGAAAGGTATTATAGATATCTTACACATAAAACCTCAATATTTACAGTACATTGCTTCCTTCAAATATACTCAGTTGCTGAGCATAATTGATTCTCAAAATATATCGCTGACTTTAATGGCATAGATGTACATTAGACAACATTAAACACACACACCCACACACACATAATACCAAGACTTTTCTTGGCATAACACTTAATGTCATTATATGAAAGATACATTATTAACATAAACATGCTATATTGCATGACATATAAACTGTTAGAAAAATAAGTGGAGAGGTGTCTGGATATGGTGAAGTGAGGTGAAACCTTAATTCATTAAATGTAAATAAGCAAAGGCAAATAAGCAAACAAGAAAATATTTACGCACATAGATGAGATGCATCTAAGCCATAAATAAATGCATGCAGAGTCATCTAATTGAAAAAGAGATATAAAAATTCATACTGCAGACTACACTTTATTCATCATATTAGCATAATTACAGAAGGCAAAATTACAAGCAATTAGCAATGCATTGATAGTACATAAATATTCTAAATCAGAAAATAATTTTGAATATATTGCATTTATACATTGCTTTTCTTTCCTGCAAATGGAAAATGATATGTTCTTGGGGATATAGTCAATTATTAGGGATATTTATGCTTAAAGTTAATATATTAGGCTTTATGAAACTGATTTTATTATATTCTAAGATGCACTGTGTTACTTATCTGTTTTTCATGTAACATCACATGTTCTCTAAGATAGGTCAAGGCAGGATTCAGTTACTTAGAGAAGCAACAATGCCCCATTCAATCTTAATCCACCAATGATGCTGCCAGTGTTGCAGGAAAGCAATGTGTCTAGATGACTCTGGGTAAGGAGCTCTGATTCCTTAACAAGTAGATCATAGGTGATGGGATTATCTGGGTAGTGCTATATTTTCTTAGTCATCTTAAACACCAACTTGCTAACTAAAGTACCAAGACTAAACACTTCCTTAGGAACATCTCTGAGAAAGTTTATGTCAATAAACTCACAATCAACAAAGAGAAGTCAAGGATAGAAGAAGGAAAGAGAATTGGCAAGAAAAAAAAAGATGTAAGCAAAATAATAGGTTCCATAAAAAGACTGGAGTATTAGATATATGTGCAAATATTTTCTCTACTTTTTTAAATGTTCTATATACATTCTTAAAAGAACAAACCACCACCATCACCAAGGACAAGCATAAAGCCAATTTCTTGCTTCTCTCAGAGATGGCTCCATCACTTTTTTTGAACATTCACATCTGTTGCAGTCTTAATCAACAGCCAAAGTCATCTTTGGCTGACAAAGAGAGATAATTCAGTAATTTAAATACTGGTCTTTGTATGTTCTACAGTACATCGGTCAAATACATGAATTGGAAATTTTTCTTCTATTACATAAAAATCTTCAAAGAGGCTCAAATATATATTTTCAAGATTCCTCTTGGTACTATTTAGCAGTAATTCAAGGAAAACAAAACAAAGATAAAAATGGATATAGCTGCTTGTTTCTAGTGTGTCTTCCTCAAACTTGTCATGATCATCCTTTCTTTTCTATATAACTCTTCACTTTAATCTTAGATGCCTGTCAGTATTTTCAAGGCCTTGAAGAATAGTATTACTAAAAGATTCAAAATTTCCACAAGGAAAACAAAAATGAGATTCAAAATTACCAACTAAATTCTATATTCAGAAATTCCTGGTTTAGAATTGCTGTGGGCCAAATCAGTCAACCAACCAACAACAAACTAAGTTTAAAACAAAACAAAATAAGCTGCTTTCATGAAATATAAATATAAATATACACTGTAATATGGTTTGGTTGTCTCCCCACCCAAATTTCATATTGAATTGTAGCTCCCACAATTCCCACATATCATGGGAGGGACCCAGTGGGAGGTAATTGGATCATGGGGGCAGGTCTTTCCTGTGCTGTTCTCATGAGTGTGAATAAGTCTCATGAGATCTGATGGTTTTATAAAGGGGAGTTTCCCTGCACAAGCTCTTATCTTCCCGGCTGCCACGTAAGATGTGACTTGCTCCTCCTTGCCTGCAGCCATGACTGTGAGGCCTCCCCAGCCACGTGGAACTGTGAGTCCATAAACCGCTTTTTCTTTATAAATTAGGCAGTCTCAGGTATGTCTTTACTAGCAGTGTGAAAACGGACTAATACGCATTGTGAGTTCTTTTATTTTACCCTATGCTAGTCATTAAGAACTCATTGTGCAACATTTGCAGAAAATCTGTTATATGAGATCCCTGGAAAAGGAATTGCCTACTTTTTCTTTACTTTGTCCCTAGATTTTCCAAACAAAACTTCAAGTTAACCATTTAGCGGACTTACTATATGCTAGGCAGCAATGGAAGCATTTTACAAATATAAATTAATTAATTTAATCCTCATAACAATCATGGGAGGTGATCCCTATTTGACCGATGAGGAAACCAAGGCACTAAGATTTAAGAAATGTTCCTAATATGTTATACGTAATGCACTCTAGAGTTAGGATTCAAGCCAAGGCTGTTTGAGTACTAAGTCCTAAGTGCTAAGTTCTAAGAGCTAAGGGAGTCTTTGTGTGGCTCTATTATATTCCTAACTTTTATACCTCCTGGAGAAGGTACAACTTGACATTCCACAAGATTAATATTTGGGGGAACTTTTTTGCTAATGATGTATAACAAAATTAAAAATAAATTTCTGAAGAATGTATGTTGACTCTTCCTTCCTCTGCCAGCTACTGTCTCCCCCTGCTCCCAGTACCCCATCCTCCTAAGACCCTTGGCTGACAACCTTCTTGAAAGCATCTTATTGAACACCATTTTCAATTCCTCCATTCGTAGTCTCCTTAAAGCCAACTCCAATCAGGCATTATCTCGTCAGTATTACCAGTAACTTCCAAGTCAGTAAATTAAGGGGCCAATCCTTGATTTTTTACCTTACTTGATCTTTTAGGAGAATCTGACACACTTTCATTTACTTTTCCTGGAAATCTTTGCCTCACTGGCTCCCAGGACATCCCTCTGCTGCTTCCTACCTCCTTTGTCACCCATGTCCATCTCCTTTACCAACAACACACTTCCTGTAGCCAGTCCACAGGGGTATGTGGGGCTGGCTATCTTTCGCTAGTAATTGTCCAGTTCTGTTATGAGCATTATTTTCTCTGACCAAAGCAATTGATTCAAGCATAAGCAGTTGACTCCAACACTCTCTTGATACAAGTTTTGAAAAAGAGGCATATTTTTGTAAGACTATAGGTACCGAGCATGATATAAACTTGGAGCTTTTAAGGCTAGCTGTACCTCCATATGGATGCAGTCTGCTTGAGAATTCATCCAGTTAGTGAAAAAAGAAAGAAAGGGCTGAAAGGCAGAGACCAGCATAGAAAGACACTCTTGGAGAAATTGCTGAAACAGCTGGATGGAGTCAGAAACAAACTTTCCTATTACTTGAATCAGTAAGTTAAACACCCCAGGAATACTTGAATACTTTGTAAATTTTAAATTGGGTTCTTTCACTTGATTTTTTTTTTTTTTACTTTTCCTTTATTCTTTGAGTTTTCATATATTATTCTCTGTATCTCTCATCTTAACCTTTATTAAATAGAAGTTTTAGAAATCTTCCACTTTCAACAATCACTGCATCTCCCCCCGCACCGAATCCACACGTACAAATCCTCAGTATTTAATTAAAAGAAAAAATATGCTCTAGCATTTCCTGAAGTAATGCTGTGAGGAAAGGTACAAAAACATTCTGAGGTGAATTTTCTCATAGCCTTTGTATTAGGTAAACTACATTTCTATTTAGACAATTTCAAACCTGATCTTAATGGCATAAATATTATATTTCTAACACTTGTATTCTTAGATCTTTTTATTCCTAAAATAATAATATTAATAAAGGAATTGTGTGACTACCTAGCAAGCCATTTAATAAACTAACACCAGGAATGTGATATTCATTCCTGGGCCTGGCCTCTATGAATTTTAAGAGGATAAGGTAAAAATGATCTCTCTATCCACTTCTATTGACTACATTGTCTAAGAGAAGTGAATGCAGATGGCCTCAACCCACTGTTTTATTTAAGGGTCCCAATGGAACAACATATGTACAAAATATTGTTTTTACATTGTATACAAACATAAAATGGCAATATTTCCAAACTGTAGCTAGAACAAAGTTGACGGGTGAGACGTTATTTTGTAAATATTTTTTACACCTCATAGTCATTCAAATAGGTACACGTCCTTTTTGACTCGTTAAGAAAAAAATAGAAACAAAAAATGGCATGTCACATGCAATGAACAAATACTATGAGAATTATTATGCAAGTGTAGAATCAATGAATACTTAAGGAATGAAAGGAGATTGTGATTAACTGCATTTCAGGTCATTACTTTTGAAGAAAAAAAGGATAATAATCCTAGTGTCTTCTGGTAATCTCACATTCGCTAAATTCATTTTGGCAGTTGTTAATGTCAAAAATGTTACTGTATAATTTATGGAAGGTATGTGGGTAGAAGGTGGAAGTTGCAAACCCATTTCTTGAAAATATTTTACTAAAATGTTTTGCATTGCATCTTGTTACTTTTTATTTCTAATATGTGTTTCATTAAAAAAAAAAAAAAAAAACTAACACCTCAGAATTTTTTTCTTTTTCTCATTTATCATCCCTGGTCTTCGGCTACATTTTGACACATGTATCAGGGTAGTTTTGCATAAGTTGTTCATACTTCATTTTTCTTTCTACCATGCATTTTCTGATATTTTGTTTCAAATAACATCTTAAAAAGAGATCTTCATGTTGCACTTTAAACACAATTATGAAGAGTTGGTGCAAAGTTTTCTAATTTATTTTTATGCATCTTTCCTCTAAACTATATGTAACATAACTTGTTTAGTTGCAGAAGTAAAATCTGCAGATGTATTCAACTGGTAGTATAATCTCCTAGTACCAATTCAGTACAAGTTCCACATGAAATTTCAAATTTTTTCTCTATTTTAAAAATATTCTATTTTGAATATTTATCACTTAAATATCATACTGAAAGGCATTTTAAAAGTACATATATTTACATTTTCTAACATAAAAAATCGTATACAGAAACCATTTTAAATGGAGAATGTATTATCTCATTAAAATGTTATCAAAGAGTTTCTATCTTTTCTTGAGTACCTCCTAATATATTTATTTATCCTACCACTTATGCCTTTTAATAAGGATATCTAAGCTATGCTTATTGACATTTAGTTTTTATATAAAAATTATTCTATGTTTCATCTTGATAACAGTAAGATTTCTTGTTTCTGAAATTCATTTAGTGGAAACATGCTTTTAGTGTCATAAATCAGTGAATTAAATGCTGAACAAGAATAAATGTCAAAATTAACAATTTAAAAAATCCTATTATATAACTGTTTCATTACAATATCTTAGGCAACTGCGTTACTATTTTTTTTATAGCTAGTGTATATGGAATGCTTAGAATTGCTTGCTTTGAAGAGTATTATTTGTGGTTCCCAAAGAAGTATCACAGAAAGTCTGGTTTCTGAAAAAGATGACCAGATAAGGTATTTGCATTAAAGCTCTTATATAACAAATGATGACCTAGTGTTTTATGCAAGAGAATAATCTTCCAAATTCCACACAACAAAGACTTATTTTTTGTTCATGCCCATTTCCAGCATGGGTCAGCAAACATGCTTTAATTACTGTAATCACCTACAAATTCAAATGATGAAGGCTTTATCTCAACACAGTCTTTCAAGATTGTGGCAACAAGAGAAAGGGATATGGCCAACTCAGCACTGCCTCACCTTTCATTTGGAAGGAACACATCACATTTTATTTCATTAGCAAATGAAAATTACATTGCCTGGTCTGTTTTTAGACATGCAGGAATGAATAATCCCACTGCTAAACTGAAAGGATTATTGGTTAACAGCACGAACGGCGCCATGCCTCTCAAAGGCCATGGTGGAAAAATGAATCTTGGACTTATTTTCTCATGTAAACAGTTATAAAACTGGGCAAAATGTTTGTTGTAATTGTCTTTCAGATATTAGACAAAAGACAACAGGATGGTGATCTCTGAGGCAAAGAAATACAACGTGTACTCCACATTCATTACATCGTTTTCCTAAGGACCATTTGCAAATCACAGTACAGGGAAATAGAGCCCATCGGTGTTGGCAGCTAGCAGGAGGAGAGATGAGATTTCAGGAAATTGATATGGACAGAATTTGTGGGGCAATGAAACGGAGAAAGGGAGCTGAGCTTACAAGGCTCTCCAGAAAACTTATAGGAGCACTCTTCAATCTTTGTAAAAAGGCTGCATTGTACATGGACAGGATGATACCATATGATAATTATTAGATAAAGACTACTAGGGAATGTGTGAGATGAACAAAGGTTATCAATGCAAAATTCTAGATGTTGGGCTTCCAACCAGAGTGTTGGTATTTCCCTAAGCACCCTGGACATGAAGTTGAGGCCCCTGAGTGCCACAGTTTAGAACTAAAACTATTTAGACTGTAAAATAATAACTATTTTAGATTCAGTCTAGAAAGTCTAAAATCATACTTGAACAGGAGCAAGCTGATATGCTAATAAACTAACTTCCTGCTTTGAGAGTTTTTTTTTTAAGAGAGACAACAACGTTTATTCTTTCCTAAAATTACTAGATGTGCAAAAATGTGGGAAAATTGACACTAACCAGGAGAAAAATCAGCAATAGAATGGGGCCCAGATTTGCTCCATATGCTAGAGTTAGCAAAGATATGAAGTTATTATAAACATGTTCAAAGATGTAAAGGAAGACGGACATAATGAATGAACAGAAGATGAATCCTAGCAAAGAAATTGATTTTAAATGTAAGAAAAAAGAAGGAAAATGAAATGCATAGGGCTGAAAAATTCAATATGTTAAGTGAAAAAAATCAGCAAATGGGACTAAATTCGCGTATTATAATTCCTTCTGAAGAAGAAAGAATTAGTGAACTTGAAAAGGTGTGTATAACAACTCTCCAAATGAAGCAGCAGAGATAAATGAAGACTAGGAAAAGCATAAATACAACGTCCATGAGCCTGTGAAACAAGTAAAAGAGGCTTAACTAAAAAGCCAATACTGGAGATTAAACTGAACATTAAAAAGTACTCAACTGATGAAATGGAGCAGGAACAGAGGATAAAATAAACAAAAGATAGAGGAGATGTACAGGAAACAGAGCGAGATGATAGACAAATGGAAACATATCAATAATTGCATTTTAAATATAAATGGACAGACACTAAACACTGCCATAAAATTCTTACAAAAACAAAAATTTAAAGTTTACAAATCTTACAAGAGATATATTTGAAATATAAAAACAGACATGCTAACATACATGACTGCAAACCTTTTAATAAGATATTAGAATGGTTATATTAATAACTGCTAAGTAAACCTCAAATCAAGGAGGATAAAGAGTTTTAAAAAGCTACTTTGTAATGAGAATAATAATGAAAAATAGAGTTTCAAACAACATGAAAAGTAAAACAAAATATATAGAATAAATAGATAAATCCAATCCAATACAATTTTCATACTTAACTTAAAAATTATACAGACAGGTAAGTGACCTGGAATAGTTAATACAATCTTTAAAAAGAACAAAATTGAAACACTTTACCTGTTTTAAAGACATACTATCAAACTACATTAATCAAGACACTGTGATATTGCATAACGATAGAAAATACATCAGTTTATCAGAATAATGAGTCCATAAACAGACTCAATGCATGTAGTCACATGTACATGGTTCAACTGATTATTTTACAAGGATGCCAAACAATTTTCTGGAGAAGAAAATGTGTTCAACAACTGTAGCTGAAACACTTGATCATACATGTACTTCTAATTTAAATTTACTGGTATTCCTGACAGAGAGGAGACTGAATGAAACACACAAATTCATAATGAAATAATGAAAGACACAAACTCAAGAAGTTCAATGTATGCCCAGCCTACTCCCAAGAAATAAAATCCCCACCTAAGCGCATCTTAGTGAATATGCAGAACACCAAAATAAAAAAGAAACAACACTGAGAAAATAAAGATAAATTACCTTCAAAGAGCAATATTTAACCTAATACTGACCTCTCAATATGAAACGGAAATAAAATAGTGGAATATGGTGTGCCTTGCCAGGGCTGCTGTAATAAAGACCACAGTCTGGGTGGCTTAAACAATACAAACGTATTGTCTCACAATTCTGGAGGCTAGAAGTCTAAAACAAAGGTGTCAGCATAAATGCTTCCATCTTAAAGGCTCTGAGAAAAGGATTTGTTCTGGACTTCTTTTCTTCCAATATCTCTTGACATCATCTTCCCTTTTGATGGATCTGTGTGTCCAAATTTCCTGATTTTTGCAAGGACAGGGGTCATATTGTATGGTCCACCCTATTAATCTCATTTTAACTTGGATATTTTTATTGCCAAATAAGAACCTATACCAAAATAAGGATACATTCTGGTACTGAAGGTTAAGACTTCAACATATTAATTTTGGGGTGGGTTGAGGGGCATATCATTCAACCTATAAAATGTGTCTTCAATGCCCTAGAAGAAAAAAATTTTTAAATGCCAATCTCTAGGATTTTATGTCTAGCAAAATTATCATCCAAGGTTGAATGGCCAAAGATATTTACAGACTAATAAAACCTGAGAGAACGAATCATGAACAAATTTATGTGAAGAAAATTATAAAGGACTATTTTCATAAAAAAGGAAATGAAGACAGCTCAAAAATCAGAGACATGGGAAGGAATTCTTTTTAATTATAGTGGAAAAATATGAGTAGATGTAAGAAGTACTGAATATAAAAAGCAATAATAATGTCGTAGTTTGAGAAATATAGAGAAATAAAATGCCCATAAGTAATGGAATATAAATTTGGAAAAGAATAAATTAGAGGTTATGCATTCTGAGGTTGCATTATCCCCAACCATCTTAAGATACAAAGTAATAGACTTTGGTAAATCAAATTTTTACTTTTTCTTTTGGCATAACTACTAAAATAATAGAAGAATCTAAATTAGTATGTTTAAAAACACTATTAATAAAAACAACATGCAATCCAAAAAATGCTACAAGGCAAGAGAACAAAACAAAAAAGGAGGTAGAAAAGGAGATTAAATACTCAAATATGTCACTAATTACACTAAATACAAATGGACTAAACACTCCAGGTTAAAAGTCAATTATAATCTAGCTGGATATAAAACCAAATCCAATCATTGGTAGTTTATATCACACAAGACTAAAACATAAAATTCAAAAATAATTAAATTGATGAGATAAGAAATGATATATTATGCAAATACCAAATGAAACTGTACTGGTATACCTGTAGTTACAAAGCATTAATATATCTATTAGGTGTTATTCCATAACGACAAAAACTAGAATCACCGTGAATCTATTTCAAATTTTGCATCATTATGAATGTATGATTTTCAAAACACAAAGCAACATTGGACCAAAGAACAAAAAGAAATTGTCAAATCCTGAATCTTAATAGGAGATTATAAAATGCTTTCTCAGTAGTACAAACAAAAAAGTAAATAATGAAACAAAACATTATCATCAGTGTTAGCATACTGGTCCTACACAGAACCCTTAGTCCAACAATATGCCATAAAGTACTTCTTTTCAACTGAATATTTTACAAGGCAGGTTATAATTCTGGCATAATGCAAATTTTAACATATTACATCATGGAAATTACAAAACTTTTTATCTGGCCACAGCATAATTAATTTTGAAATGAAAAACAAAAAGTAACTAATTTTTATGTTTATAATTTAAAAACTTTAAAATAAGCCATGAGCCAAATTCTAAATAACTGTAATTAGTAAGTGTTTCAAACTGAATAATTACAATATTATTGTCAAAACTTGGGAAATATTACCAAGTCAGTACTGACAAAGAAATGTATGTCCTCAAATGACTGTATTAGAAGTCTTAATATTAATAGTCCAACATTTAAGTTGAGAAGTTAGAAACTAATAAATATAAAAGGACAAAAATATAAATTCTCAAAATGTATGCAGTATAAACTCTCCCCCACCAGGTTACTCAAGGGCATATGTCCATTGCTTGGATCAGGCTAGGTTCAAGTGGGTGGGGGGCCAAGAACACGATACCCAGCCTAGGAGCAGGTGTCAGACCCCAAACATTATGGAGAGTATCTGAGATGCTATCAAGCAAAACTGTCTCATTGCTAAACCATAGTAGACAAAGAGCCAGAAAATTAGCTGAAAAGCAATTTGGAGACAGGAGGCAGTGAGGATCTTGAAAGCTCTCCTGTTGCCATCCAGGAGTGCCTTGTATGTAAGTCCTAATAAACTCAAGAACACATCAAACTGGACTTGTCCAAGTCATTCTTTGGTCTCTGAGCTCCTTCCTACTTTGGGAGCAGGACACGTTACATCACCAAGGTTTTGTGTAACGGTTGGTATACAGACAAGGATCGTAGAGAGTAAGCGATGAGTCACTGGGAAGGAGCATCTGTGGGGGAAATCCTGGAGTGGTCAGCAACATGCCTGTGGGGTGGAGTTGCCTCGCTGCTTGACTTCTGTGGGTTGCCAGATGAGTATGGGGACACTTGGAAAATGCCAGTGGGGACTGGGCACCTATTGCAAAAAGCTACGATATTAACCATAAGAATACCAAATGTGCTGTTGTTGCAATAAGGCTGGCTACTGAGAGCAGGGAAGGGAGAAAGGATTGAAACTCCTGCAAAAGACTGAACGCATGACAGGTTTTCTAGAACTCCAGATTGTTACATATTACGGCCCTTTCTTGTGAACATAATTTAACTGATGAGCAAGTTACAACAACAACAAATCAGCGCTCAAACGGTTAACCTACAAGTATAGAGTTAAGTAAAATCTTTTAAAGCTATCTGTTTCCTTTTTTGTTTGTTTGTTTGTTTGTTTGTTTTTGAGACGGAGTCTCGTGCTGTCACCCAGGCTGGAGTGCAGTGGCGCCATCTGGGCTCACTGCAAGCTCCGCCTCCCGGGTTCATGCCATTCTCCTGCCTCAGCCTCCCAAGTAGCTGGGACTACAGGCGCCCGCCACCACGCCCTGCTATTTTTTTTTTTTTTTTTTTTTTGTATTTTTAGTAGAGACGGGGTTTCACCGTGTTAGCCAGGATGGTCTCGATCTCCTGACCTCGTGATCCATTCGCCTCAGCCTCCCAAAGTGCTGGGATTACAGGCGTGAGCCACTGCGCCCGGCCCTCTGTTTCCTTTTCTATCTGCTTTGAATCTGCTGTTTTTAAACTACTGGTCTTGAGATAAAACTCAATGTTACTGCCAATTCAAGGCCACTTGGAGATTTTATTTTTCTTTTTTCCTTCTTTTCTTTTTTTTTCTTTTTTTTTTTTTTTTTGAGACGAAGTCTCACTCTGTCACCCAGGCTGGAGTGCAGTGGCATGATCCCGGCTCACTGCGACCTCTGCCTCCTGGGTTCAAGGGACTCTCGTGCCTCAGCCTCCCTAGTAACTGAGATTACAGGCATGAGCCATCACCCCCGGCTAATTGTGTTTTTGTGGAGATGGGGTTTCACCATGTTGGCCAGGCTGGTCTCGAACTCCTAACCTCAGGTGATCTGCCTGCCTTGGCCTCCCAAAGTGCTGGGATTACAGGCTTGAGCCACCACACCTGGCTGATTTTGTTTTTCTTATACAGTTCAGTCAGTTCTAGCTAAATGTAAATATTGAAACCATTTGAAGCTAAAGGAAATAAAAAGTAAAAGAGGTTTTTAGAATACAACTGCTATAGCAACTGCCTTACTCAAAATTTTGGTCCATAGCCGTCATTAGATTACCTATTGAGGCTAGCAAACCATGTAAACAGGTCCAAATTTTGTTAGAAATAATTTAGATCCAGCTGTCTTTTATAAAATAATGAGTTTATGATGCTTTCTCATGACTAGAGTTCTGAGATAAAGGCTATTGGATGTTTGTCTGTTGGATATTTTGATAAGCAAGACTAATTTGATACTATTGGTTAAGTGAGAACAGCTGAATTTTCTGAATCACCAGCAAAGATGCCCATGTGTTTAAACTTCTTGCTTAGGTAAACACCTGATATTCACAGGCTACACAAATGGTTAACAGGAGAATAACTTGGAATGATGACTAGTTTTGTCTAATGTCTAGGTTATCATGAATAATACAGATAAACTGTTAAAGATAAATAAATTGAGTAAATGTAAATGAGATAAATGCTTACAGGAGAAACTTTTATGTACTTCAAAAGCTTAAAATTATTTTAGGAACTCATTAAATGTCTAGGTCATTTCCAATGTAAAAAGGGTTACGACATGAGGCATTGGTCACACTTCTGAGCCCATTAATGGGAAATCAGTTCTGTGATAGGAGGAAAGCACTGGCAGACCTCATTGAGCTAAAGACAAGGATTGAGTCCATAAGGTAATCAGGAAACAAAAAGGAGATGGATGCTTGTACACTTGCCCCGGCCAAGGCAGGCAGTAAATGTAAAACAATATTATCTGCCAGGGGGACACTCTAAAACCACCCAAACAATCCAGAAATTATGTAAGATACAAATTGTCAGGTCAGCCCAAAGCCCCCTTCTCAACAGTCCCATGTGTCCTGTGAAAAAGCCAGATGGCATCTAGAGAATGACGGGAAATTATCATAACCTAAGCAATGTGGTGCCCCCTGTACATGCAGCCGTATCCAATATTGCTCAATTGTTAAAACAAGTGGTCCTTAGGCTGGAAAGCATCCACACTGTGAATGACTTGGGCTAATACCTTTTCTAGTATCCCTTTAGCAGAAGATTCACAAGACCAGTTCGCCTTTGCTTAGGAGGGCCTACAGTGGACTTTTCAGGAGCTACCACAAGGGTTCCTGCACATCCCCACTGTCTGTCACAGTCTGGTTGCACAGGACCTGTCTAGACTCTCTTTGCCCACCTCAGTCTCCCTGTTTCACTATATTAATGATAACATGCTAACCTCAGAGTCTCTTACAAATCAGGAGACTGCTCTACAAATAGTCATGGATGGCGTAAAAGACAGGAAATGGGAAGGTAATCCCCAAAAGATACAGGGGCTGAGCACAGTCATCAAATTCCTGAGAGTTCCCACTTGGGTAAGACATGTAACATACTCTAAGCTGTCACTGGTAACATGGCACACAGCAGCCTGTTCCCCAGACAGAAAACTAACTCCAGGTATTCCTATACTTACTGGGCTGCTAGAAGATACTCATTCCTCACTTGGTATAAACCCTCTACCCATTATACACCCCAATAAATAAAAAGTGAAAAAAAATCATCACTGGACACATATAGAGCAAGAGGTATTTGATGAACCAAACATATTGGTGAAACCGGCCCAAGCACTAGGGGCCTCTCTGCCACAGCACTCTTTTGTATTAGAAGTCACCAGAGATGCCAAAGGGATATATTGCGATTTGTGGCAAAAATAACCAATGAGAATGGTACCTGCAGGGTTTTGGTCTCAATTATGGAAGGAGGCAGAATCCCACCATACAGTCTTAGAGCAACGACTACTGGCCATGTATAGGGCAATGCAACAAGTGGAGCCCATCACCAAAAACAGTCTGTCACAATAAAAATCCCATAAAAGGGTGAGGGCGAGTTGAAGGCCTCCTAGCCAAGCCCACCTCCAGGGTGGCATAATTACACACCCTGCAGAAATGACACACTTATCTATAACAAAGGAGTGTCCTGATCACTAGTCCTTCAAGCACTGCAGGAAGTGCTTGGACCTATCCACTCTGAATGCGGGGAGGGGGCCAGCATGGCAGTGGAGCCACCTACCAGGCCAACCACCATATGGGGACCCCACTAATAACTCTAGGGCCTGGTACGCTGATGGGTCTAGAAAGAACGTATCCAACACTGAGCACTAGAACAAAATATAGACTGGAAGTCCCATTTATCATATAACCCAACATGCGCAGTCTCATTGAAGAAAAAAAAAATGACCTGTTAAAAACCGAATTGCCAGTACTGTTCCAGGAGTGCTCTTTAAGGCCCTGGACTAAGAATCTCCCTAAAGGGATACAAACTTAAAATAAGTCACCTACTACCACACATGGCATCACTCCCTATGAAGGTTTGTCATGGCCTTTAAAACAGGCCTGACAAACCCTCAGGGTTACCTCTGAAACTCCAAGCCATGCTCCTGAAGCAGGTGGCCAGACTGTGCTCCTGAGAACACCAATGGATCTGCCAAGTGGCGATGGCTATGTGAACCTGAATTTGAGCTGGACAGTGCCCCCATACTAGATTGGTTTTACGGCAGTGGGGAGTGCCATGAAGACTACCAGAAGGGAGGTGGTTCCAGCTATACTTGATAGAAATCTAAGAGGCTTACAATATCAACATGAGGCAGCACCAATACCTGTAGAGCAGTCATAGAGTCGATACCGTTTGCAAGGCCTGAATTTAGCAAGCGGCTATTATGCCCCCTCCTAGGGAGGGAAGCCATGTGTGATAGTCTAAGCCAGGCCTGAGGCCCACAGTAGTCTCCCTAATAGGGCCAACGGGAGAAAACCCAATGGTAATAATGTTACAAAAATGGATACATTTATGAGGGTCCCTACTAAATACCCGTGTTTTCAACCATAGGTGGTTATTCTTCCTACCTTGGGAGCTGAAAATATCTTTCTGAATTGGTCTGTGACTACAACAGCAATCAGCAACAAGTTCAATTGTTGGGTATATTGATACCTCCCCCTATCAAATGGTAATGGTGTGCCTTAAAATACTCTGCTTTTCTAATGACAGAACTAAAGTGACTGTTTAAAAAGAAATAGTAATACAACTCAGACTCACTGGGGATTGCATCCACCCAGAGGTAGGTGGGCATCCCCCATCCCCAAATCAACAGAGAACCAACATAAGCTCTTAAAGGCGTTACCTGTTGATATGGTTTGGCTGTGTCCCCACCCAAATCTCACCCTGAATTGTAATAATCCCCATGTGACAAGGGCGGGGCCAGATGGAGATAACTGAAGCATGGGGGTGGTTCCCCAATACTGTTCTCATGGTAGTGAATGAGTCTCACAAGATCTGATGGTTTTATAAACGGGAGTTCCTCTGCACAAGCGCTCTTGCCTGCTGCTATGTAATACATCCCTTTGTTCTTCCTTTGTCTTCCGCCATGATTGTGAGGCCTCCCCAGCCATGTGGAACTGTGAGTCAGTTAAACATCTTCCCTTTATAAATTACTCAGCCTTGGGTATGTCTTTCTTAGCAGCCTGAGAACAGACTAATACACCTGTTACAATTATAGCCCTGATAAACACAGTAATTTTACAAACACCTTAAATTATTTGTTAACTCAGAGCCATGAGTTAACCCAATTAGGTTTCTCTGACTCATTCTCAAATTGGTTACATACCTAACCTCAAATTGGAGATATGTTTTACTAGCAGGCATCATAAATATAGTTAGTTTCTCCTTTGCATGCTGCTATGTATACTGTATATGTGGCCTGTACGCATAAGCCATGGGTACACTTATAGGCCTGTATAGTTCTTCCTCTCATACTCTACTCAGGGACTCTGACACAAAATTGGGGGAAAGAATGCAAAATCTAGAGAACAGTATGGATTGTAGTGCTACAGATTCCACACAAGTTTGCTTAAGGGCATATGTCCACTGATTGAACCCTGAAGGCTGTGCAGTGAGCCAAGGCCATGATGCCCAGCCGAGCAGCAGGTTTCCCTGAGAATCCATACATCCTGGAGAGCATCTGAGAACCAACCAGGAAATCCAGTCTTATTGCTCAAGCACAGTAGGCATAGAGCCAGAAAATTAGCTAAAAAGCAATTTAGAGACAGGAGGCAGCGAGGATCTCCAAAGCTGTCCTGTTGCCATCCAGGAGTGCCCTGTATGGAAGCCTTACTCATCTACTCATCCAGCTGGACTTGTCCAACTCATTCTTTGGTCTCTGCTCCTTCTCAATCTGCAGAAGGGAAGAGAATATTATAGTACGAAGGTTTTCTCATAACAATGTAGATGGAAAAAATAATAAAGACAAGAAAAGGAATTAATGAAATGAAATATAGCATAAAATTTGTTAGATCAGTGATGACAAAAGTAGATTATAATAAGCAATAAAACTGACTAATGTATGGCCAGGCATGATGGCTCATGCCTATAATCCCAGCACTTTGGGAGGCCGAGAGGGGGCGGATCACCTGAGGTCAGAAGTTCAAGACCAGCCTGGTCAACATTGTGAAACCCCATCTCTACTAAAAATACAAAAATTAGCTGAGCGGGGAGGCAGGCACCTGTAATCCCAACTAGGTGGGAGGCTGAGACAGGAGAATCGCTTGAACCCAGGAGGCAGAGGTTGCAGTGAGCCGAGATCGTGCCATTGCACTCCAGCCTGGGCAACAAAGAGCAAAACTCCGTCTCAAAAAAAAAAAAAAAAAAAATTACTAATGTGTCGTAAAGTTGATTAAGAAAAAAATTAAACATTTGCAAATAAATAGTAATAAAAAACACATTATTACAAATATTACAGGTGTTAAAATGGTACAAATATTTCATGGCAACATTATAAATCTGAAAATTTTGTTGACATGAGTAGATGCCTACAAAATATTGCCAAATTGACTTAATCAGAAATAGAAAACCTGGATACTCCTGTAGTATTATAGAAACTACAGAAATAGTTAAAAATTTTTACATGTACACACACACACACACACACACAGATTCTAGGTTTTCAGGAAGAAAATGATAGAAAATCATAACTCTTCTTGAGAACAGAATAAAAATGGGAAACACTCTCCAACAGATTTCATGAGGTTAGTAGAATTTTGCCACAAAACTCAACAGAGATAGTACATGAAATAAAAATTACAAGATAATTTTGCTGATAAAATAAAAATCCTATGCACAGTATCTGCACATTATATTTACTCTGGGAATGTAAAGGTGGTTTATACTAGAAAATCATTAAATGTTTTAACTACCTTGAGAGTTTGAAAGAGAACACGGAATATTATCTCAGCATAGTTACAAAAATTGTTTCACAAAATTTAACACCACCCATGAGAAAAGCGTTTACCAAGCTTGCCAGCTTAACCTCTAATCTACCTATACGTATTAAACACTTGATAATAATGAAATATTGAAAGGTTTCCCTGTAAACTAAGAAAGGAGAAAACAATGCCTATTGTTAAGTTATATTAAGCATTATTCTGGAGGTCCTAACCAGAGGAATAAAACTAGAATGGAATAAAAGTATTGAATATGTTATAAGAATTGGAAAGAAATAAACAAAGCTAAATTACTCACAGATGAAATGACTCTCTATGTAAAAAAATTCCAAAGAATCCACAAAGAAATACTTATAGTTAAGAAGTGAACTTAGCAACGTCTCTGAATACAAGGCCAATATATAAATATCGATTTTATATTAGAAAACGAAAGGTAAATGATGCTATGTGCATTATGCACAACAGAATTACAGGTAAAACCATCATCATTTTCATATAATGTAAATTTATTCCACGAGTAACAAAGAATCTTAAAAAATCATTCTAATGATTAAAAATTTAACAAATTCCAGTATATTTAAGAATAAGTACTGATTTTAGGATTTTGATCTGAGTGTAGTTTTACATGGGCAAATGTGTACAGATTATCTGTGATCTCATATCAGCAGGAGCTAAAATATTCCCACCCCCAATAGCATCTTTATAACTCATACACTTATGGCCTGGACATAAATTAGAAACCAAGAAGCATTAATTTATCTTGAAGTCATATTTAAATGATTTTTAGTCTTATGTAATCCAGAGTATTAATTATCAATCAATTGAAAAGTTCTTTATTAAACATCCACTATATTTCAGGCATTATTAGGCTAAATGATAAATGTATTGAAATGAATAAGATATAAAGTTTCTGTATCAAAGAAGATTATTATATATTGGAACTACTAAACACTGTACAGAGCTGATAAAGCCAAACCTACACGGATTGTTTGATTATGTTATCAATGCTACTTCCTCACTAGAGGCATCACAGTCAAGCTATGGGTCCTCAAAAGTACATTATTTAAAAGTATCTAGCATAGTTTTGGACTAAAAACAGATATTTTCCAAATAAAGGAAAGCAGTGTTTAAGAAGAGAAGTACCTTAAACTATGGTTTTTCCATATGTGGGCTTAATCTTTCATGATTTTGGATCAGTTTACCTGATATTACTAGAGCAAATTTTGTTTAACAAAAGTGCCCCTCTAACTTAAAACTATACCAGAATACATTAGAGCATGAAGATTTAGTATCTTATAAAATATAGCACCACAACACTTATGATTGGTATAGCAATAAAATTTTTTATCATTATGTCTCTATCGTCTAATATTGACTAAGGGGTAGTAATTTTGTTTTTTAATTAGACTTTATAACATTTAAGTTTCTTTTCAACCTTTATAATACAGCAAATGCTTTAGTTATGTATTTGTACTACAAAATTTTTCCACGTCAAGCATTCAATCAAATCTGGCTTTCACCCAGGCACGGTGGCTCACACCTGTAATCCCAGCACTTTGGGAGGCCAAGAGGGGTGGATCACGAGGTCAGGAGATCAAGACCATTCTGGTTAACATGGTGAAACCCTATCCCTACTAAAAAGATACAAAAAAATTAGCTGCACATGGTGGCACATGCCTGTAGTCCTAGCTACTCGCAGGCTGAGGGAGAAGAATAGCTTGAACCAGGGAGGCGTAGGTTGCAGTGAGCCGAGATCACGCCACTGCACTCCAGCCTGGGCAACAGAGCAAGACTGTCTCTCAAAATAAATAAATAAATAAAATAAAAAAACAAAAAATCTGGCTTTCATTCTCATTACTCAGCTTCAATTGATCTAATCAATATCTACCATATACTTTATTTTTTTTCAAAATTCAGTGGCTTCAGACCTCATTTCATGTGATCTTTCTCACTAGCATCTGACTCATTCAAAAACTGTCTTCTTCCTTAAAAGCTCCTCTCATAGTACTTTTGTGAAATCATATTCTCTTGACTTTTCTTCTATCTTACTACCCATTGTTTTGTTTTGTTGTGTTTTGTTTTGTTTTGTTTTGGTCTATATCCCTGCTCACTCATCGTCTTTCTATTCTCTAAATATTTACATGTCCTGGAGCTCACAGTAAAGACTCTTAAACTGTGTTGTATGTAAAAAGTCTCCAGCACAAAAGAAAAACAAATGAAATTGAGCAGACCCCTTCTCTACTTATATTCATTTATCTTGGAGTTCTCATTTAGGTTCATGGCTTTAAATAATATCTACATGTTGAATCCCAAATTCTCACCATGTCCAGTAATATTCACCTTGGAATCTGCGTTTCTAATCATATGATTAGTTTGGATATCTAATAGGCATTGGATGTTAGTTTGTCCCAATACAACCTTTGAGTTGCACACACTTGCCAATTTATTTTTTCCTTCTATAATCCTCTTCTCAGGGAATGGGGCCACAGGGCTCCCCAGTAATTTAGCGCTCTACTACTAGAGTTCCTTGTCTCAGGTTCCTTTTCTGTAATGACAATGTGAAAGCTTGGCTAACATGCCGTCCAGTAAAACAGCTTAAAATCATTTTGAAAACAACAATTTAATGTTTCAGGAAATGGTCTAAAGGACATGCAGCAAGTGAAGAAATATTTATTGAAGAAAATTTTTTAAACAGCAGAAGCAGAGAGAGACTGTATCATTTTAGCCATGAATCTCTCTATTTCCTTCCCACCCCATCCTAATGTGATGGAAATTCCACTTTATGTAGGTGCAGCCAAGAACACAGGAATCCTTCTTCATCTATGTCACAGTATTTTCCCAGCAGAGGGAGATGTCAACATTTCTTAAATCCATGGCCCTGGCCCTGGTTCTTTCATAGGATGGAGGGTCCAGGCCACGATAGGCTAGACAAGAAGACTAAAGGCACTCCCCAACCCCTACTATAACAAGTGCTTAGTTCCTAAGCAGAGATTTTACTGAGAGAGAAACTTACCACTTTTTCTGCTTTCGGATACACAGCTATAGTGCAGACATTTTGCGCAAGGAGAGAGGCAGGCTGTAAAACAGGGGGTTCTGAAGCCTATTCAAATGAAAGCTTTATTTGCCACAGTGCTAGAAGAAGTTCAAACCTAAAAGTACTTTATAAAATAATGTTGTGATGAAAGTAATTAAAAGGAGACCAAAACTTCATCGGAGACATATTGCTAGGCTACAGGGTAGCTAGTTTAGTGAGAGAGCCAGGCAAAGAGACAGTTAAGAGCTCTGAGTCAGAACAAATTTCAAAACTGAGCTGAGAAACTATTCCTGGAAAAAAGTTGGGATTTAACTGCATCAGTCCATGGAGCAATTCATGCCCCAGATCATTCTTGAAAACAATTGATAAACTCTACCAATTGCTGGCTGATTATCAGCTGGGTCTGGGTCAGGGAAAGAGAAGTCAAAGAGAGCACTGTCATTCTAAGGTGGCTGAGTACACATGCCTAAGACTGTACCCTCTGAGGAACTGTGGGTCAGGGAAGAGGCAAAGGATAAAAACAGACTTTAATAAATTAATCCAGTTCATCATTAAACAAACAAGTAAACAAGTTCTAAGAGTTGGGGAGTGAGGAAATCCAGAGTTGGGATTATCCAGATTTCTCAAAATATGTTACCTAAATTTTCCAATGTTCAACAAAATTATGAGATAAATGTTTTAAAAACCCGAGAAAAGTCTGAACCATAGATGAGGAAAAAAGCAGGCAACAGAAACTGCTTGTGAGAATGAGCAAATGTCAGACTTAACCAAGAATTCAAAGTAAACTTTATAAATATGTTCAAATAATTGAAGACAACTATTTTGAAGAATTAAATGCAGGTGTGATGAAATGTCTAATCAGATGGAGAATATCAACAAAGATATAGGAATTATAAATGAATCAAATGAAAATTCTGGAGTTGAGAAATATACTGATTGAAAAAAATCACTAAAGTGTTCCACAGTAGATTTAAACTGGAAGAAAAAAAGAATTAATGATATTAAAGATAATAGAGATTATAAAATCTGTAGAGAGAAAAAAGAATGAAAAAAATGACAACTGCAGGACACCATTAAGAATGTGAACGTGTGTGTAATAGGAATACCGGAGTAGAGGAAAGGAGAAGAAAACATTCAAAAAAGTAATGACTAAAAATTCCTTAAAGTTTATTGAAAAACAATAAAGTACACATTCAGAAAACTCAGAGAAATTCAAATAAGATAAACACAAAGAGACCCACACATGGATGCATCATAATAAAAATGATGAAAGCCAAAGACAAGGTGAAAATCTTGAAAGGAGCAAGAGAAAAATGACTCATTGGTTATAAGGAATGCTTAATAAGGTTAACAGCTGGCCTCTCATCAGAAACAATGGAGAGGAAGTAGTAGGACAGCATATTCAAAGTGTTCAGATTTAAAAAAAAAGTCAACCAAGAGTTCTATAGGCAGCAAACTATCTTTTAAAAATGAAGGCAAGATAAAGATATTCCCAGATAAAGATTGAGCAAATGTGTTTCTAGCAGACCTATGTTATAAGAAATAGTGAAAGGAAATTCTTCAGGCAGAAAGCAAGTACATTCTGAAAGTAATTCAAACTTACACAAAGAACCTAGTAAAGAGAGTTATACCAGCATCAGAAACAGAATACATGCATATTTCTTCTCTTTTCTTCCTTTGTGTGATTTAAAAGGCAAATGGATCCGTACAGTAAAGTTTTATTTGGCCTTAGAAAGGAATGGAGCAGTGATACGTACTGCAACATTAGTAAACCCTGAAAACATTATGTTTGGTGAAAAAACCCAGTCACAGAAGACTACATTTTATATGGTTATATTTATATTAAATGCTCAGAATATAAAAATCTTTGAATGCAGAAAGTAGGGTAGTAATTGCCTAGAGGGGTGGGACAGGTCTGTCGGTGCTGAGAGCGAAAGGGTTCAGAGTTTCTTCTGGGGATAATGGAAAAATTCTGAAATTGACTGTGGTGGCACAATTCTGTTAATATATTAAAAACCACTGCATTGTACATTTAAATGGATGAATTGTATGATATGTGAATTATATTCCAATAAAGCAGTTAAAACTCTTCTAGCAAGTTTCATTGATTCATCCTTCAACACATATCCAAAATAATAATCCCACTTTTTCCAGATTTCTTGTTTTTTTTTTGTTTGTTTGTTTCTTTGTTTTTTTTTGTTTGTTTGTTTTTTGAGATGGAGTTTCGCTCTTGTTGCCCAGGCTGGAGTGCAATGGCACATTCTCGTCTCATTGCAACCTCCATCACCCGGGTTCGAGCAACCTCCATCACCCGGGTTCAAGCAATTCTTCTGCCTCAGCCTCCTGAGTAGCTGCGATTACAGGCACCTGCCACCACGCCCAGCTTTTTTTTTTTGTATTTTTAGTAGAGATGGGGTTTTACTATGTTGGCAAGGCTGGTCTTGAACTCCTGACCTCAGGCCATCCACCCGTCTCAGCCTCCCAACGTGCTGGGATTACAGGCGTGAGCCACTGCACCTGGCCCCTCTTGTGTCTTCTTTGTCAAAACCACTATCATCTATAATCTGGGCTGCTGAAACGCCAATCTTAGTGGGTAACTCTGCTTTCCATCTTGTTGCTTTACTTCCCAATATATCTTCTTCACACAGAAGCCAGAGTCATATATTTTTAAATGAAAATCAAACTGTAAGCCTTTTCGTTTCAAATCCCTTCAACAGCTCCTTATATTACTCAGAACACATTCTCCCTTTTCAACACGGTCTGGAAGACCTCTCTGGTTCTTGCTTCTCTTTCAGTACTCATCTCAATCTCTGCTTTATTCCCAATAATCCTTTTGCCATTTCTTAAACACAATGACTTTGCTACACACACAGGCTTTTACACTTTCTGATCCTTCACCCTGACATGTTCTCAGCCGGATCTTCGTGTGCTTTGCTCATTGTTTTATTTAGCTTTTCATAATGAGCCGTCTGCTCAGAGAGCTCAGCCCTGACCACTGTCTTCTTCCTGTGTCCTCTCTAGAGAAACTTGCTATGTCCTTTACATTGTTGGTGGCCTTACCTGACCATGATATCTGAAACAATCCCATTCCTCCCATCACTTTTTTCCACTTTAACCTGCTTTGTCTTATCACTTTTGTTTGCTTGGCTATTTTTGAATACCTCACTAAAATACATGCTTCATTACTTCCAGGATTTGTATCTGTCTTGCTCATCTCTGCATCTTCAGTGATTAAAATGTTTCTAACCTGTAAGAGAAGTTCAATAACTACTGATAGAAAATTTGTTTATTTAATAAGCTTCTTCCATTTAGCATAATGTCCTTTAGGTTCATCCATGTTGTCAGAAATGGGAGAATCTACTTTTTCTTTCTTTCTTTCTTTTTTTTTTTTTTTTGAGACGGACTCTTGCTCTGTCACCCAGGCTGGAGTGCAGTGGCGCCATCTTGACTCGCTGCAAGCTCCGCCTCTGGGGTTCACGCCATTCTCCTGCCTCAGCCTCCTGAGTAGCTGGGACTACAGGCGCCCGCCACCACGCCCGGCTAATTCTTTGTATTTTTAGTAGAGACGGGGTTTCACCGTGTTAGCCAGGATGGTCTCGAACTCCTGACCTTGTGATCCGCCCACCTCGGCCTCCCAAAGTGCCAGGATTACAGGCGTGAGCCACAGCACCCCGCCAGCGGAATCTACTTTTTTAAGGCTGAATAATATCCCATTATGTATGTATGTATGTATGTGTGTGTGTGTGTATATATATATATCAATAAAGTGTGATATATATATATCACACTTTCATTATTGATACGTCTATCAACAGACACTTCCAATGTTTTAATATCACAATTCAATAGTGAATACTGGTGCAATGGACATGCAAGTGCAGATATCTTTATGAGGTGGAGAATTAATTTCCTTTGGATATGTACACAGAAGAGGGATTGTTGGATGACATATAAATCTTCTCTTAATTTCTTTTTTTGTTTTTTTGAGATGGAGTCTCGCTCTGTCGCCCAGGCTGGAGTGCAGTGACGCGATCTCGGCTCACTACAACCTCCACCTCCCAGGTTCACACCATTCTCCTGCCTCAGCCTCCCAAGTAGCTGGGACTACAGGTGCCCTCCACCACGCCCGGCTAATTTTTTATATTTTTAGTAGAGACGGCGTTTCACTGTGTTAGCCAGGATGGTCTCAATCTCCTGACCTTGTGATCCACCCGCCTCGGACTCCCAAAGTGCTGGGATTACAGGCATGAGCCACCACACCCGGCTAATTTATTTAAGAATATCCTTACTTGTTCCACACTGGTTACATCAATCTACATTCCCACCAAAAGTGTACAAGGATTCCCTTTTCGTCACATCCTCGTCAACACCTGTAATGACTCGTCTTTTTGATATTAGCCATCCTGACAGGTATGAAGTGATAAATTATGGTGGTTTTGATTTGCATTTCTCTCTTTACTGATATTGAATACCTTTTCATATATGTATGAGTCATTTTTATGTCTTTGGAAAGATGTCTGTTAAGGTTCTTTGCCCATTTTTAAATTGGGTTATTCATTTTTTTTCTTGCTATTGAGCTGTGTTATATATTTTGAATATTGACCTTTATCAGTTACATAGTCCAAATATATAATCCTTTAATCCATATGCTGCCTTTTCATTTTGTTGATTATTTCCTTTGCTGTGTTGAAAGTTTTTAGTTTGATACAACCTCACTTATTTTTGCTTCTGTTGCCTGCGCCATATGACACTATCCAAAAAATCACTGCCAAGGTTAATGTCAAAGAGTTTTTCCCCTTATGTTTTCTTCTAGGAATTGCATGATTTGGGTCTTAGGTATAGATCTTTAATCCATTTGGAGTTGATTTTTGTGTACGGTGTGATATAAGGCTCTAATTTTATTCTTTGGTATGTATCATTTGGAAATGTACAAAACACCTCAACTTACATCTCACTGTGTAAAACTCAAACACACCTGGCTGCAAGGGAAATGTGTAACCCTGAGCTGGCCAGTTGGTTATATGTGCATCTAGAACTTGAGATTGTATCACTAAAAGAGAATGGTAAAAATCGTAAAGAGAAGAGAGAAACTAAGGGTATGTGAAACATCATACAAATGTTTTTATATTGGAAATTAATCTTGATTATATTTCAGACTTCGAAGAAGCCCAGAGTCAAAGTTCATGTGCTTCTTTCTATGATTCTTTTAGCTAGTAATGACTGGACTCCATATCCTGTAGGATTCCTCAACCTAGTCATAATACTGAAATTTTATCTAAAAAAAAAGTAAAATACTGATCCTTTTACCTGTAAATAAAGTATAGGAAAGCTCAAAGAAGATATTTCTTAATAACCCTTTGGTCACACTTTGTATAAACATACTATTAATAGGAGGTAATACAAAATTCTTATGACCTGTAGAAAAATGTCATTTAATCAATTGTATTTAAAATCAAAGCACATATATATAAAGTGGTACTTCCTAAAAAAATACTGGTCAAGTGAAAATATTTCTTCATAAACTTTCACATGGGTAGTGCTTTACAGTAAAAACAGAAAATAGGTAATTGTATTATCTTTTTATTTAGCAATTATTATGCTTACCAAATTTTTGCATTTGAAATAAAGATATATCCCAAGGTAGTAAAGAATACTGCTGTATTTAATGTTAATAGTGGTCAGCTGGACAACTACCATCAAATATTCTTATCTAACCTGAATTTTCTTCTTTGTAACACATAATTTTCATATTGCTACACGCTTTTTATTTTTTATAACTAGATCTCTAGTGTTTTCTCATGTATAATTTGGAAAAGCAATATCCCATTAAGATACTGAAAGTCTTTGTTATCTCCCAGAATTATTTTATAAAACTTACCCATACAATAACTCTGAATACATTGCATATGATATTTGAGTTTTTATTCAAGAGTTCTATCCAAGAATATGCTTATTATTAGCTATTTTACCTGATTCTACATTACTTTTCTTCTCAGCCTTCATCTTCATTAATTAGATAAGAATGAAATTGTTGTCATTGAAGTAGTTTCTCAATATTATATTTATGCTATTTCAGAATATATTATTAAGCTATTGTTAGACATAAACTTCTGTAACAAAAACAATGGAAAGTTTTCATGGCCACGTTTACATTTAGAATACAATTTTCATTTGCAAAATTAAATTATTATGGAGACCAGCCTGAAATAATGTAATAGAACATGAAATAATCAGTGCAGTATTTCTTGAGACTATACTTTATACATTATATGTTTATGATTGGTGTACATGTCCGTGTATATTCAAAGGTATGATTAAATCTTTTTAAAGTTGCCACAGTTACATATATGCTGACAAAGCTTTTCTAAATATACAAATTATGGTTATATTGGCAGAATGGGATACTTTTCCCAAAGATGTGTCTATGAAAGACTGTATCTTATAGGCTGTCAAAATCTTTTTTCTATATTATTATTCTTAAATCAAGTTTTCTTTTTTGACAAAGTAATGGATTCATATGATGTGAAATTTAAAATCATAAGCTACACTACAGAAACATCCATTTTACTCCTGCCATGTATATGTCTACCTTTTCCACTACATGGAATAATTTTGTTATTTGTGATATATTTTTTTCATTTTTAGCAGAGGCAAGCACAAATCATCATCTCCCTCTTTCCTATAAAAAATGCAGCATGCTATTTTTTTTACAATGTTTGACCATTGTTTTTCATGTAACAGTTGAATGAGTGAGAGAATATATAATAATGCTATCTGAGTATGTATGTAACTGTGGCAACATTAAAATGGTTTAATCATACCTTTCAATATACACGGACATATACACCCATCATAAACATATAATATGTGAAGTATAATCTCAAGAAATACAGCACTGATTATTTCATGTTCTATTAAATGATTTCAGGCTGCTCTCTACAATAATTTAATTTTGCACATTAAAATTGTATTCTAAATGTAAATGTGGCCATGAAAACTTTCCACTGTTCTTTGTTACACAAGTTTATGTCTAACAATAGCTGAGTATATTCTGAAATAGCATAAAGATAATATTGAGAAACAACTTCAGTGACAACAAACTTATCTAACTTGTCTGAATGTCTAGCTTGTCACCCTTGTCCAGTCCAACATGTATTTGTTTTGTATTTGCATAAAATTATTCTGATATGTTGTAAACGCTTTTGGTTTAATAAAGAAACTCCTACCTTGAACATGTTTTAGGAGTCATTTTGATTAATATATAATATTAATTTTGATTAATATACTATGTTAATTAAATTTTCACCTGACAATGAAACTGGAGGGATAGCTACATAACATAACTAGAATTTCAAATTATCTTGACAAGTCAGCATGATGGGACAATAGTTTTTTTTAAATATATATTGAAACAAATAACATATATTTCTCATGGAAATAAAGAAACATTCTGTGAAAAACTACTCAACAATATAATACGTAAGAGATTTATCCACATTTATAAATAATTTTTGTTTGTTAGACAACTATGTTAGATGCCTTTAAAAGGTAAATATTATCTTAGACTGTATAGATAGAAATGCAATAGTGGTAAGCAAGAAAATGATTATGCTGAACTCTGGATTGATCAAAACATGAATGTTTGGAATACTGTAGTTTATTCTGGGTATTTTTTGATGTCTGATTGAAAACGAGACCAGAGTAAGTCACCCCAGCTAGTGAAGAGATATAAACTTCAGTTAATACTGTGATATTACTAATACAAGTCTAATGTAATCTTAGTTTAATTAATAAGAGTACTATATAAAGAACAGAGGCTGAGAGAGAACTTCTCTCATTGTGGTCATACTTTGCTTGAGTATTCATTTATGTTTGGGACTCTGAGGTTAAAGAAGGATGTTGGCAAGGCTAGGAATAATAAAATAGTAAACCAGGAATAATAACATAATAATAAAAATAATAAATACATTTTTCTGCTTCTGGCCAATATAGAGTTATGGGATCCAAGTTACTTTCTCATCTGAAACAGGAACAAAATACAAAATATATAATTCTGGTTTTCAAGACATTGAACATCAGTAAATGCAGCACAATAATACAAAAGAGGCAGAAACAAATTATATAAGCCATGTGATTACTGCAGATTACCATTTTAAGAGAGCTGTGAATAGTGCCTACTAGATTTGAACAAAGCAAAAGCTCATAGGCCATGGGGCACTGGTATTGTAACTCTTGAATCATAATTCATAATGAGGAATGATTAGCTTTACACCTAGCAATGCTATGATCTGCCAAAGAAACCTCACGTGCAGAATTCAGAGGGTTAATCTGTTCAACTAACTTAATTGCAACCAGAAATAAGTTTAAGAATATTTATAGAAACCCTAATATACCTAGCACCAAAAAGTAAAATGTACATCAAATATTGAAAGATTACTAGGCATTAACAGGAGCAGAAAAACATTAACCATAACGAGGATTTTAGCCAATTAAAAGTGACCCAGAATTGACAGTATTTACACAAGTGTTCAAACATGCATAAATGGACATTAAAAACATGTATTATAACTGTCTGCTGTCTGGAGAAAAGTCAGGGACATGTATTAAAAAGACCCAAATCAAGCTGCAGTAGGATGAAAAACTACATTGAGACGGAGAATACGCTGAAAAGGGTTGACAGCAGATTAGACATTACAGCTGAAAATATAAGTGAACTCAGTCCATAACAATAAAGAAAAAATTAGAATAAAAAAATGAGAATTCAGTGATTTTTGAAACAACTTCAGCTGAGTTCACGTACTTAGAATTTGGAGTCTCTGAGGAAGAACAAAAGGGGATCAGAAGACAGAAAAAAATAATTGGAGAAATGATGGGATAAAGTTTTCTAAGTTTGATGAAAATCACAAAACCACATCTCAACAAATCCTCAGCACAAAAATACAAAGAGGACTATGCCAAATAAAAACACAATCAAAATGCTGAAAATCAGTGATGGAGTCAAAATTTTAACAGCAGTCATAAATAAAAGACACTTTTGTACATAGAGTAACAAAGATAAGGAAGGCAGCTGATTAATACTGGAAAAAATGCAAGTGATGACATAGGAGAGCAATATCTTTAAAATGCCAAAACAATAACAAAAACAATGGATGACTCCCAATTCTACACATAATAAAAATATCCATCAAAGTAAGTGAAAAAGACAATTATAGATGTAGAATTACTGAATAAATCATCTCTAGCAACCTGCACTATCGGGAATGTTAAAGGAAGTTTTTCAGGGAGAATGCAAATGACATCAGATGGAAATATGAATCTATACAGAGAAATAAAGGGTAGTGACCACCTGAGTAAACACAATTTTCTTATTATTTAATCTATTTAAAAATGACAGTTTAAACAAAAATAATAATGTTTTGTGGCTACTGTATCTCTACAGTATCCAAAATTCAGGAGAGGAGAAATGGATGTACACCAGTCTAGGGTTCTATTGAAATGGTATAATATCACTTGAAGATGGACATAGATAAGCTATAGATTTATATTATGAACATTAAAGCAATCAGTAAAATAATGAAGCAACTAAATCAATAAGAAGATAAAATAAAATACTAAATTAATTAGAGTAATTTTTTTTTTTTTTTAAAGACGGAGTTTCGCTCTTGTTGCCCAGGCTGGAGTGCAATGGTGTGATCTCCTGTCACAGCAACTTCCGCCTCCTGGGTTCAAGTTATTCTCCTGCCTCATTAATTGAAAGACAGAAAGAGAGACAATAACAAGTGGTGGAAAATTTGTGGAGTTACTTGAAATGCAAAATTTTTCAGCCACTGTGAAAAAGAAATTGGTTATGTTTTAAATAAACACAAATTGACTACATGAAACAGCGATTTCACTGCTAGCTATCAATGCAAGAGAAATAAAAACCTACGTATATACACTAATTTGTACATTGGTGTTTAATGGCATTATTCTTAATAACTGCAATCTGAAAATGATCTATATGTTCATCGACTGGTAAATGAATAAACAACAGGTAGTAAATGTATGCAATGGAATATATTCAGAAGTAAAAGTAATAGACTAATGGCATATGCTGCAACATTGATGCACCTTAGAAGCATGCTACGTGAAAGAAACCAGCCGCCAAAACTATACAAGTTAAAAATTAAAAGAATGGAAAAATATTTGCCATGCTAGCAAGTAAAATGAAAACAAAATTGAATACTTCAATATCAAATAAATTCTAATTTAAAGCAAATATCCAGAAATGCCATATTTATATATAGAGAAAATAAATTCATGGATGACGGAAAGGCATATAGGACAGGAAAATGACTGCAAATGGACAATAAGTACATTTCAAAGGTAACAGAAATGATTCAAAATTGGATTGTGGTAATGGTTGCACAACTGTAAATTTGCTAAAAATCATTAAAATGTACATTTAAAATGAACATGTTTAATATCATGTAAATTAAATAGCAATACAGTTGTTATAAAATAAAGTTTCCTAAGGAAAGTGAAGGTCCGGATGGCTTTCTTTGGCATAATAATGGCATAATAACTAATTCTACTAAATATTTAAGCAAAAAATAATACTAATTCTCAACTAAATGTTCCTGAATATAGAAATGAAGGGAACACTTCACAACTTATTGTGACACGAATGTTACTCTGATACCAAAATTACACAGCTACAACAAGAAGGTAGAACAATATCCTTCATGAAAGAAGAACATCCCAAGTCTTCAATGTATTGGATAATCATAATTATGAACAAATCAAATAAAGCAATATTAATAAAAATGATAATACATCATAGATAATGTTGTTTATCACAAGAATGCAAGGCTGGTATGTTCAGCCTTTGAAAAATCTACCAATATAGTTCATTAAATTATGCCAGATCAAATTAAAAAAAAACAAATAATTATCTTAGTACCTAGAGAAAAAGCTTCTGTCAAAATTCAAATTACATTTATTATAAAATCTTCTTAATAAATTGGGAATGAAAAGAAATTTCCTCTACCTTATAAAGGGCATTTACAGAAATCCTAAATCTAACATCATATTTAATATTCAAAACCTAAGTGCTTTTCCCCTAAGTTTCAGTTTAAAAAGCAAAAATGTCATTCACCACTTTATTTTGCATCACACTAGAGGTCTTAGCCAGAATAATACAACCAAGAAAAATAAATGAATAACACAGAGTCTGGAAAAAACTTAAACAATTTCTATTCTCAGATGACCTGATTCTCTAAATATAAAATTAAAAAATATATATAAAGTTACTAAAAGAATGTTATTTTAGCAAGTTTGCAGGAAACAAGCTCAATATACCAAAAATTAATTGTGTATCTTTACACTGGAAAGGGATTATTAGGAATTAAACTTAATATTTTTATAGCACAATAATACATTATAGCAGTCCTCACTTAACTGTGGTTATTAAATGGAAAATTCCAGAAAGAAACAATTCATAAGTTTTAAACTGCATGCTGTTCTGAGTAGCATGATGAAATCATATGCCATCTCATTCTGTCCCACCTGGGACATGAATCAGTCAGCCGTTTGTCTAGCATCTCCATGCTGTCTCTGCTATCACTCTGTAGTCATTTGCAAGTTTTTCAGTTATTAGATTAACTGTCATGGTATTATAGTGATTGTGTCCAAGTAACCCTTATTATACTCCATGATAGACCCAAAGCACAAGATTAGCAAAGCTGGCAGTTTGGTTCTGCCAAAGAGAGGTGTTAAAGTGCTTATTTTAAGTCAAAAAAGGAACAATGGACATTAGGGAATATAAGAGGGAAGAAAGGAGAGAGCCAAGGGTTGTAAAACTACCTATTGAATAGTATGCAAACTTCTTTAATGATCCATTCAGTTGTAGTACAAACCCCAGTATCATGTAATATACCTCAGAAACAAATTGCACATGTACACCAGAATCTAAAATAAAAGTTGAAAAAAAAGAGGAAAAAAAGAACTGATCTTTTTAAATCTTAGTGAACCTAGTTGTTATAAAATTGTGCTGCTAATATTCTGTTGCGTGAAGTCAGGGACCACAAACGGAGGGACCAGCTGAAGCCATGGCAGAAGAACATAAATTGTGATGATTTTATGGATGTTTATTAGTTCCCCAAATTAATACTTTTAAAATTTCTTATGCCTGTCTTTACTGCAATCTCTGAACATACATTGTGAAGATTTAATGGACACTTATCACTTCCCCAATCAATACTCTTGTGATTTCCTATGGCTGTCTTTACTTTAATCTCTTAATCCTGTCATCTTCGTAAGCTGAGGATGTATGTCGCCTCAGGACCCTGTGATGATTGTGTTAACTGCACAAATTGTTTGTAGAGCATGTGTGTTTGAACAATATCAAATCTGGGCACCTTAAGAAAAGGATAACAGCAATGTTCAGGGAACAAGGGAGATAACCTTAAACTCTGGCTGCCTGTGGGCCAGGCGGAACAGAGCCATATTTCTCTTCTTTCAAAAGCAAATGGGAGAAATACTGCTGAATTCTTTTTCTCAGCAAGGAACATCCCTGAGAAAGAGAATGTGTCCCTAAGGGGAGGACTCTGAAATGGCTGCTTTGGCGATGGCTGTCATAGCGGACAGATGAAATAAGCCCCTGTCTCCCATAGCACTCCCAAGCTTATTAGGACAAGGAAATTCCTGCCTAATAAATTTTGGTCAGACTGGTTGTCTGCTCTCAAATTCTGTCTCCTGATAAGATGTTATCAATGACAATGCATGCCCGAAACTTCATTAGTAATTTTAATTTCGCCCTGGTCCTTTGGTCCTGTGATCTCGCCCTGCCTCCATTTGCCTTGTGATATTTTATTACCTTGTGAAGCATGTGATCTCTGTGACCCACACCCTATTTGTACACTCCCTCCCCTTTTTAAAATCACTAATAAAAACTTGCTGGTTTTACGGCTCGGGGGGCATCACGGAACCTGCTGACGTGTGATGTCTCCCCCGGACACGCAGCTTTAAAATTTCACTCTTTTGTACTCTGTCCCTTTATTTCTCAGACTGGCCAAAGCTTAGGGAAAATAGAAAAGAACCTACGTGAAATATCAGGAGTGAATTTCCCCCGATATATTCTAACAATGTTAAGTGAATGAAGAAATAAACGCATTTCCTTTTTAAAGAAAAAATGTGAAAGTTCACGACTGACAATGAAAAAAATGGATTTTGAAGATCTAAGATCTTAAGAACAAATCTTCTATCCATACAATTCTAAAGAAGGAAAAATAAAATTTGATACTAGTTTTGCTGTTGTAACTCAAACTACAAAAGTTACAGCCATAGTGTGTGATAAGTGCTCAATTAAGATGAAAAAGACATTAAATTTTGGGGTTGACGACGTAAACAGAAACGTATTCTTATTGATAGCAATTGGGTCCGGTAGTATCCATGGTTTCTGACATCTCCTGGCAGTGTTGGAATATATCCCCTGTGGATAATGGGCACTACCATAATTACTTCAGTTTAAATGAAACTAAATACATACAAATTCTGTATGCTGAAAGCTTCAAATTACTAAAGAACACAACCAAAGAAGATCTAAATAAATGGTGGGATAGACTGTGTTCATGGATTAAAAGACTCAATATTGTTAAGATAATCGATTTTCCCTAAACAGGTATAGTCCATGCATTCTCAATAAAAATCCCAACATAAATTTTTGTAGAGATTGAAAGATGAATCTAAATTTGTTAGTGGAAAATTGAATAATCTAAAATAGCCAAAATTATTTTTATAAAGAAGAACATTGGACAACTCACTCTAACCAATTTCATGGCTCACTATAAAGAATCATGTACAGTGCAGTATTTTTAAAAGGACTGACCAATCGACCAATAGGATAAGGTAGAGAGCCCAGTATGAGACCTGAACATATAAAATAAATGATTTTCTGATCACAGATTCTGACGCAATTTAAAAGAGGTGTTTTTTTGTTTGTTTGTTTTGTTTTGTTTTTCCAACAAAACATGCTGGAATATATAGAAAAAATAAGTCAAAATAGATTATAAACTAGAAGCCTCAGAGTAGAGCATAGAATAAAGTCTTTGTGACCTTGAGTGAGTCAATGATCTTATTAACTATGGCACCCAAAGTATGATGCATTCTAAAATGAATGAATTAAAGTTCCTCAAATTTAAAAGCTGCTCTTTAAAACAGACTGTTAAAGGAATGAAGATACGTCACAGAGCAGGAGAAAATATTTGCAGAATTACATATCTGATAAACTTGGCCTCAAAGCATATACAGAGCTTTCAAAATTGAATAATTATAAAACAACCCACAAATAAAATCCATAAAACATGCAAACAGATATTGCATTAAAAGAAGGTATGCAGATGGAAAACAAAAACACAAAAAGATGCTCAATATAGCTAGTAATTAGGAAAATGACAATTAAAACTATTAAATACACATTGGACAAAAATGTTTAAATGGTGAAATAGCAAGTTTTGCTTTGGATATAGAATGAAGCGAAATGCTCATACAGGCAGGTAGAAATACAAAATTATATTAGCACTCTGAATAACATTTTGAAATGTTCTAATATGAATAAACCTACACTTATCATACAACGTTGCTATCCCTCCCCAGGTATTTATGTCATCAAATGAAAACTAATGTTCACAAAAAAAGCCTGTATGCATAAGCTTCTAGTGGCTTTATATCAAGAATCACCAAAAAAGACTGAAAAATATCTAAATGTCCTTTAACTTTCAAATGGATAGAGAAACTGTGGTACATCCATGCAACAGAATACTCCTTAGTAATAAAAAGGAACAAAATTGTTGATTCCTGCAACAATATGAATAAATTCAAATCCATTGTGCTGAGTGAAAGAAACCACACTCAAAGGCTACATATTGTGTGATTGTATTTATGTATTTCAGAACAGATTTACGTATTTCAGAACAGATAAAACCGTAGATCTAGAAATTGATGAGAAGTGTCAGGGGAGTGGATGCTAGGTTTGACTACCAAGGGGCATAATGTATTTGTTTGATACCTCTTGATTGTGGTTGTAGTTATTTGACTATATGCACCTGTCAAAGCTCACAAAGCTCTATACTGAAGTAGGAAAATTTAACTACACAAATTATACCTTCACAGACTCTTGTAAAAATGTGTTTATAGAAATGACAATTTCAAGATTATCAGAAGTATCACTAGTGAGATCTTTAAAAAACAACAACAATAACAACAAAACTGTTAGGTCTATCTTTTGCAAAAGGTGTACTATCTTTGTAACTTTTTAAAATATGAAAATATATGTAAGACTTAAATTTTAATGAACCAAACCATAATATGCAGAATAATGAAACCCCTCAGAACGCCCCACCTCCTAATCTTCAGCATTTGGGATTATGTTCTGCTACAATGGTTGCAGATAGAATTAAGGTTGCTCACCGCCTGACCTTAAAATAGGGAGAATATGCTGGATAATCCCAATGTCATTACAGAGTCCTTAGGATTTGAAGAGGGAGGCTAAAGAAGAGTCAGTGTTAGAGTGATGAAATGCAAAACGACTCATCCAGCCATTGCTGACTTTGAAGATGAAAGACAGTCACGGGCCAAGGGGTAAAGATAACCTCTATAAACTGGAAAGGGCAAAAAAGTTTGTCCTCCACAATTCTTAGAGTGGAACACAGTCCTGCTGACATCTTGATTTTAGCCCAGTGAGACCCATTTAGATTCTGACTCTCAGAATTGCATAATAATTTTGTGGTGGTGTAAGACACTAAGTTTGTGGTAATTTGTTGCAGCAGCCATAGATAACGAATGTACCAACTCTTGTCTATTTCATATTGGGTTTCACAAGGGAAAAAAAAATGAGAAAACTATTCATACTTGGATAATTTTTTTTAATACCCTACATTGACAAAAGGCAGATCAATGCAGTAAGTTTTATTCTAAAGCTAGGTTGGTATGAGAATAAATGCAAATATTTGATTAAGATGTTTCCATTGATCTCCTTTCAAGATATTTTATGAAATTTAAAGATCCCTTGGTAATTTTTAACATTAATATAGAAGTTAAATTGAATTCTTTTTTGTGGGTGTTTACAAAGTCATCTTCTTCCTTCCTAAACAGATCTCTCCTGACACATTTTAAAATAGCAGAAAAGTGCATTTACCTAAAGTCTTAATATTTGTAGATGATATGGATATGGTTTGGCTGTGTCTCCACCCAAATCTCATCTTAAATTATAACTCCGACAATTCCCACATCTTGTGGGAGGAATCAGGCGGGAGGTGATGGAATTATGGGGGCGGGTCTTTCCTGTGGTGTTCTCGTGATAGTAAATGAATCTCAGAAGATACGATGGTTTTAAAAATGGGAGTTTCCCTGTACAAGCTCTCTTTGGCTGCTGCCATCCATGTAAGATGTGACTTGCTTCTCCTCGCCTTCCACCATGATTGTGAGGCCTCCCCAGCCATGTGGAACTGTAAGCCCAATAAACCTCTTTCTTTTGTAAATTGCCCAGTCCCAGATATGTTTTTATCAGCAGTGCGAAAGCAGACTAATACAGATATATTTAGGTGTGTTTGAATTTTAACTTTCAATCTATAAAGACACATTAAATAGATGCTATTTGAATATTAAACAAATTGGTAAGTGCTGTTAAGACGAGAAGAGTGTAGGAGATCTTTTCTTATCTACGTTCATAAATGAGAAATTTTATCGGAGCTAAAGATAAGCTAATTATTTACCTTGGCTAACATAGAATGTTTTTATGTTTTTAATACCTAATACAATTCTTTTCCTTTTGATTTTTGTGCCAATAATATATAAGATTTATAATCTCTCCCACTCATATGTATTTAAATTTTTATTTCACTGGATTCAATTTAATGTGCTCCTAAATTTCATCTTTTATATAATTTTCTTGCCAGAGTTTGAGTATTTTCTGTCATCACAAGGCTGAGTCATTACAATGGAAGTGTTTGAATGAAGATGAATAGAGGTGAAGGTCACTGGAGGTGAGCACCACAATCCATTGCTAAATTAAACATGGCCTTTATAGTCAAGGACCTTATTAACTAATGAGGGCTATGGAGAAAGAATCAGATAATTAAAGCAGAATGCACTTAGTATTGATGGGGAGAATTAGAGGGCACTATTGAAACATACAGTAGGGGCATGTAAATCAGACAGGAGTTACATGGAATGAAAGTGTAAGAGACCTGTAAGAATTATCTAGGAAAGGAATTGGGGGAAAGAGTGCTCCAAAAAGAAAGAATAATATTCATAAATATATGGAGAGGGGAGACCTGTAAGAATTATCTAGGAAAGGAGTTGGGGGAAAGAGCGCTCCAAGAAGAAAGAATAATATTCATAAATATATGGAGAGGGGAGACAGCCTGGTGCATGTTGGAAATGCCAGGCATTTCCATACTGATGGAGGATAAATAACTCAGTCTCTGAATCTGGGATTGGTTTCGGACCGTCTTCGGCAAATTTTTGGACCTTTGCCCCAGCAACAGTGTGGTTTGGGAAAATGGGGCATAAAACGAAAGAAATAGATGGGGGTAATTTGTTTGTGTCATATCTGTTGCTTAGAGATGGATCTTGCTATTTGGGTTCTTCTCACTTCACTCTGAATGTTTTTTTTTTTTTCTTGCTTTTGGCTAACACCCATGTCTCCCCTTTATACCAAATACCAGCATTACCCAGAACATGGAATGCGACATTCTGTCTTTTCCCTGATTTGAGAGGCAAATTATTTGAGCAGCTCAGGTCTACTATGGGTGAATGTGAGTCCTTCCTAAGTCTTCCAAAACCATTGTTGACCTGCCTTGAAGCACGTAAGGTAAAAATCTGGTCTGTGATGGTTAATTTTAGGTGTCAACTTGATTAGATGAAGGAACACCTTGAGAGCTGGTAAAGCATTATTTCTGGGTGTGTCTGTTAGGGTGTTTCAGAGGAGATTGTGTATGAGTCTTTGAATTGACTAGAGAAAACCTCCCCTCAATATGGGTGAACACCATCCAATCATCAGCGGCGCTGGGTAGAACAAAAAGTTAGAGGAAAACCAGATCCTTTATTTTTATGCTGAAGCTGGGACACACTTATTTTCCTACCCTTGGACCTCAGAACTTCAGGGTCCCTGGCCTTTCAACTGTGAGACCTACACCAGTTCACGCTATCTTCACCAGGTTCTCAGGCATTCAGCCTCCATCTGATAGTTACGTCATTGGCTTTCCTGGTTCTGAGGCCTTCAGACTTGGACTGAGCCTTGTTACTGGAATTCCAGGTCTCCAGCTTGCAGAGATCCCATAATGGGACTTCTCAGCCTCCATATTAATAGGAACCTATATCCTCTCACCCATACGCCTGTTTGTCTGTCTATCTATTTATTATCTATCTATGCATCAAGTCTATCTATACTATTGGTTTTCTCTCTGGAGAACCCTTTAATTAAGATAAATCCACTTCTCAAAATACATGCATCAGCCTTTAATCGACTACACACAAAAGTGGTATCCTAGACTTTATTTTTTTTTTTTCACTTCTTAAAGAGAATCACTCTATAAGCAGAGTACAAAATGACAGTTGTCAAAGATTCTCTGGAGACATCAATTGAAATAGACTCCCCCTCAACATGCTAACTAGTCATTAGGCAATGTTCTCTAGGGTTTTTGTGTATTGTCAAATCTTCAGAAAGCAATGTACCTGGACCATTTTCCAAGCAATCTGCTAAAATGTTTTTCAGAAAGTTAAAATTTAATGTTATTCTGCTTTTTAATGCAGAGGTTATGTAAGAAATGTCCAATTGATACATGTTTCAGTTTTTTTATTTTTGCAAAACCACAGTCTAAACATTGCCGATGATGTCATCCACTGTTTGTTATTTAAGGATTAACCCACTACAGTTCAGGGCTGAAAGAGAAACTTTTCTCCCTAAATGATCTATTATATTTTCTTCAATCTGACAAAGCAAACTATATAATCCAATATGCAAACCTTTGTTTGGGGTTTTGTTTTGTTTTTCATCTAAGTTTCCAGGCAGCTCTGAACCAATTTTAAGTCTTAGTTGTAGACACCAGCTTAATGTGGTTGAATGGCATAATAATTTTATGTTATTTTAACTTGGACTTTAATGTTAGTTTCTTTTTAAAAATAATTATTCTATTTGATGCACTGAGATTTATAGTCTATATCAAATATTATTTGAAATTTAGGAAGATATTTTCATAAAAAACAAATTACCCAAGTTTTCTCATAAGAATCATAGGGCATTTTTCTCTATTTTACATAGAAATAATTCGAGTTCATATAGGCTAAGAAAGTTGACCAGATTTAACTAAAGAAGTTACATAATTGATATTTAAACTCGGTTCTCTGCTATGAAATTTAATGCTGTTTCCATTATATGATTATCTAATTAAACATTTCTCTACCATTTAACAAAGCAAAAAAATATATTTTGATGTACAAATAATTTTTATGTTTCTAAGTATGTGTATAAGGTCAAGTTATTAATATTAGAAAACATCATATCCTTATAGTATGATCTAAAAACAACTTTTACTCCTTTGCCATATACTATCATTACCTAGTCTGTAATGTTTAAATTATAGTGTAAGAAAACTCAGAAATTACAAGCCTTATGTTGTAAAGATAACATACGTTTTAAGTGAAGGCTATGTGTTATACATCCAGTCAATTATTTGGTACTTTCACCTGTTGCTGAATAAAATAAATGTAAACATAAATCATAATAAATAAGCACACACAATGGAGTACACACAAAACTATTCACTTCAAACATTAAATAAATCACAGAATCTCCACATTTATACAAAGAAAAATCTAAGCTGCCAACAAGGAGAGTTATAAAACATTTGAAATCCTGCTTTGCTGCTTTATTAGAGATAATTTCATCCAGTGAGATTTGAAAGCAATGCCCTGGAAATTTATGATGTGACTTTTACTAAGATGTATGTAAGTTTATAGAACGATGTTCACTAGAAACAGATTTATTCTGTTTATATAACAAGCAGTTACCTCTGGCCTGCTCTCCCTACTGTATCCTGCTATAACTGGTAAGGGTATTACCCCCTAAATTACCTGCTGTTAGGAATGGCCATGCCAGTTTATTCCTATAAATAAGGCAATCTCTCTAGCCCTATCTCTGTCATTTTAGGCAGTTGCATTCAGTATGCCCCTTCCCTAAGTTTGTTTTGTGTCTCAGATTCTTATACACATGAGAACACCTGGGAATAGACCTGGTGGCCTTCAACCCACACCAAGGCAAGCACAATGTCTAGAATGACTTATGTCACTTAGCCATGGACCCCTGAGGTTCCGTCACTGACATCTTATTTTCTGACGTTTTTGTGGAGAACTATTTAAATTTTGTGAATAGCTGCTTAATTGGCTAATTTAGTGCTCTATTTTCAAATATCAACAATAAGACCCCTTTCGATGTAAAGAATCATTTTTCAAGAAAGGGTAGAGGGTGATGGTGGCTATTCTTTTTTGCTTAAACTAGCTTGACCTTTGTAGTCTGATTCTTATAAACAGAACAAGAAATTAGCCAATTAAGCAACTTGTATTTAACTAGTTTTTTCAATTTAAATGTAACAATTTGATAAACTTTGCTGAGAATGTCTATTAACTGATAAGATAAATTAGAAGTAAATGGTCAGTTCTTTAGTTCTACTTAACATTATCATATTCTGCCATGACAGAGTAGCATTAAGATTCATTGTTTTTAGCCTCATCCATCTTATTGCAAACATATTGTAAAATACTTAGTTCAGAAAAGAAATATTTATACTCAACCTTTCTGCACTACTATGTTTATGGTTTACATTTTTCTAAATGCTAGTCTAGTCAACATTGATCTAGTTTTCTATATTTAAAGCTTAAATATCTTTTTTGTAGTGTGTTTTTTTTCAGTTTACTATGTTAAGTTATAATGAACACATTTAAAATACTGTTTCTTCTGTTTATGTAGTAGTGCTCTATTGTTAAATGAAAACTAGAGGACAAAGTATGTGTAGATTGCCAAATAAAGAATTAGTTACCCTATGTTTGAACACCTCAAGAAGGAATATTTACATTTCATTCTACCCTTCTACTACAACTACCTACTTTAGATTATAAACTCATGAAGGGCAGGGATCTTTTGAGCAAAGCTCATATCATTTTGCATAAGAAAAATATACTTGATATGCGATTTGGGGTAGATCTGATCATATGGCTACTGGAAGTGCAAACTGGCTGGTGGTTGTGATGAGCATGGTACTACTTATCCTAGAAGATTTTCATTCCTCTAAATAAGGCAGAAAATGCTGAACTGTCTTTATACACACTATGATGGACTATTAATGTTTCTTCCCTACAAACAGAAAATGAAGTTATTAAATCCAATCAACTTTCATTTACTACAAAGGTTTAAATGCCTATACTCAATGTACTTCCTACTAACCATGTTTAGCTTAACATAATAAAAACCCTTTATTGAACCCCATTAAAATGAAAGTCTGCCACTCAACCAATCAGCTCTGTTGAAAGTTTTGGATGCTAAAGTTCCATGCTGACTTCAATGGATGACAGATAATTTAAAGGCAATGCATATAATTAACAGGATTAACATCTGAAACTGTGTTTATCAGTTAGTTGAAACATTAATTGCATTGATTTGAAGTAAAAATCTGACACCGTAAGACATTCACAAGGTAGTAATTTTGGATTCTGTGTCAAGGTAATATTATTCTAAACATCCCAAATGGAAGGTTGTCTCTCTAGAGCAAGTATGGAGGAACCAAAAAGGAAAAAAGAAAAATATATAGAGCTGATATCAAAAATAATTTTGTCAACCACATTAACAATTGAAACATGAAAATACACAAAGATATGTTCCTATCAAATTGTCAAAGTGGTGTTTATGAAACAAACTCAATATTAGCAATTATAATAGAATCAGACATTTTTCTTTTTTTTTGGTGTGAAGATGGTTATTACCATTATGAAAACAACTAGAAACACTTAATTATACAGTTACTTATACTGCTATTTGTTTTTATCATAAAATTATTTTTAAAACTTGACTTAATAATTAAGTGGTAATTTATCTGAAGGAAATAATCTTATATTCACAACATGTATTATGTATAAAGATGCTAATCATAGCATTATTACTTATGCTACAGGAGTTAAGAAGAAATTAGGCAGATAGCGAGGGTGGGAGAGTACTCAGTAAGGTTTTCCTTTTACTGAAAGGTAGCCCCCAAATTATTTCCATTTCTAACAAAAAGCAGCCTGTAAAATCAAGCTGCAGACATGGACAAACAAGCTGGAAGCTCTCTTGGGTGAATGCTGGTAGCTGTGCCAATAGGAAAAGGTTACCTGGGACTTGGCATGTTCAAAATGACGCCTCCATGTTCCCATCTCTTTGCCAGCCATGTATATAGTAAGAAGCAGAAAACACGGCGCCAGCCACGTGGAAAGCCCATTTGCATATTAGTGCGGGGTGGACAGCCTTCCCAGAACGTTATGTAAACGTCACATGTTGTCCAACCAATCTGTGGACTCCATGTAAATCAGACACACAGCCTCTTCAAACCTGCCTATAAAATCTGGTGTATTCCATGGTGGGCCAGAATTCTTATTCAGAAGCCCCTCTCTCTCACCAGGGAGAGAGCTGTTCTGCTTTCTCTTTCTTTCGCCTGTTAAACTCTGTTCCTAAACTCACTCCTTGTGTGTGTTTTCCTGACCTTAATTTTCTTGGTGTGAGACAGGAACCCTGGGTATATACCCCAGACAACAATGCTGCTTCGCTTATGATAATTACAGATCAGGAGTGTGGAAAGAGTACATTTCCTATTACATAAGAAGTGCTTAATAATTTACAGAATAACCAAATAATGGAATATATGGGAATATTTAAATTATGTTTTCGAAGAATATTTAATATAGGACATGTTCATATTATATTAAGTGAAAAGTTGTGTCAGCAAATGTACATTCAATATAATATCCTTTTTATTAGCTATGCCTATTTTACATTTAAATTTATGTGACATATTTATAGAAAAAACTGGATATGTATATATCAAATTTATCAGCAGTAAGTAAACGAGAGCTGGGATCAAAGTTACGTTGGTATTTAAATATTTCTGAATTCCATATTTTCATAAAAATATAACCTGTATGATTAAGTAAAATATAACCTGTATGATTAAGTAAAATATAATTAGCTCATTTTATCTTATGAATTAGTTAAAATAATTCATTTTGAGCTGAATAAATACATTTCTCATTTATTTACTTCTATGTGAAATGAGTGCTGTGTCTTCAAACTAACTGTAAAGCCTTCAGATTCTTATGTTTGATACAACTTGTTATCTACACTATTAAGTTTTGTTTGTTTGTTTGTTTCTCTTTCTTTGAGACAGGGTCTCACTCTGTCGCCCAGACTGGAACGCAGTTGTGTGATCCTGGCTCACAGCAACCTCCGCCTACCAGGCTCAAGCAATTCTCCTGCCTCAGCCTCCCAAGTAGCTGGGAATACAGGTGCACACTACTACCGTCTAGCTAATTTTTGCATTTTTAGTAGGGAAAGGGTTTTACAATGTTGGCCAGGCTGGTCTCGAACTCCTGACCTGAAGTGATCCACCTGCCTCGGCCTCCCAAAGTGCTGGGATTACAAGGGTGAGCCACCATGCCTGGCCATTATTAACACTGTTTTAAAAACATCATTACCATTTTCCCAAACCCTTGGAATTACCCTTAATTGTTCCCTTTCTAGTACACTTAAAATAGTATTATGCAACTTGAACTTTTTTTTTTTTTTAAACAGAGTTTCACTCTTGTTGCCCAGACTGGAGTGCAATGGTGCGATCTCGGCTCACCACAACCCCTGTCTCCCAGGTTCAAGAGATTCTCATGCCTCAGCCTCCTGAGTAGCTGGGATGACAGGCATGCGTCACCACTCTCTGCTAAATTTTTTGTATTTTTTTAGTAGAGACGGGGTTTCATCATGTTGGCCAAGCTGTTCTTGATATCCTGACCTCAGGTGATCCGCTTGCCTCGGCCTCCCAAAGTGCTAGGATTACAGGCGTGAGCCACTGCACCCAGCCCAATTATTTCTAATTTATTTAAAAAAATATTTATTTGTGGTCACTATTTGCCAAAGATTGTTCTTTACAGCAACCAGTTAGATAACTGCATCATAACTAAATGCCTAGACCATTGCAATAATCATAACGGCTTTTACTGTATTCAGTATTTTGCAAGCCAGTCAAAGACCATTCTTGATTGCATTTGGCAAGACTCTGCATTGGAAATGAGAGAAACCCACTTCAAGCTATATTATTAGCAACAACAACAAATAGCTGGGAGATTCTTGTTTCCCAAAGGGAATGTGCTAGTAATCCATTTATCGTCTTTCATCTCTAAATCCATGATTTTGCCTGCCTCCCTAAAAATGGACCCTGACCCTTTCAAAAGTTTTTCCTTGCCAGCTGGCATGATGCTTTGTCAGTAGAGGGCGCTGGAGGGACACTGCAGGAGTAAAGGTGTTTTGCTTGCAGGACTCCTGTGTCTGCTTTCTGTGCTCCTGGGCTGTGCAGTCATCCCAGTGTCCGGGTACTGCAGATGGGTGTCTCCTCCACTCATGAACTCTACAGCCCATGAAGCTTCTCTGCCTTCAGGTTGCCGCAGCACCCAGGCGCTACCAGTTTCCCCTGACACCGTCCATACTTCTCCACTTATGATGTCCCAGCAAAGGACCTCAGGCGAGACATCTTATGAACAGATTTCTCTAGTATCTACCTAAAGGTTATCAATCAGTTCTCACACTGCTGTAAAGAAACACCTGAGACTGGGTAATTTATGAAGAAAAGCTTTAACTGACTCACAGTTCCCCAGGCTTAAAAGGAAGCATTTTAGAGAGGCCTCAGGAAACTTAAAATCATGGCAGGAGCTGAAGGGCAGGGAAGCACGTCTTACCACAATTAAGCAGGAGAGAGAGAGAGAGAGAGAGTAAAAAGGGAAGTGCTACACACTTTTAAACCATCACATCTCGTGAGAACTCACTCACTATCACAAGAACAGCCGGGGGAAATCTGCCCCACAATCCAATCACCTCCCACCAGGCCCCTTCTCCAATTCAACATGAGATTTGGGTGGGGACACAAATCCAAATCATATCAGATTTGTTTTTTGCAAGATCAAGAGGACAGATGTCCAGAAAGTACCACAGAAGTGGTACCACAACTTCTCTGCCACCCAATGAGCCACAGCTGTGCCATACCCAGAAAGTTCTGAATCTCAGTCCTGAGGTGGAAGAATGGGAACCCCTTCTTTGAATGATCTGTCCCATCCCTAAGATAGTGACTGTTCCTCTATCTGCTATTCTGTATGATTTTGAGTTCTCTCTTCTTCTTGATAGTCAAGAGTCCTCGATCTTGTAGCAGACGATTACTGAGGCTTGGCATCTCCCAGCCATTCACATTGTAGTAAGGAGCAATCCAGAACTAGCATTCCTAGGATCTTTCACCAAGAAGCAGAAGGTGACCCACACTGGCTCCTCCCTTTGCTGGATGTACCAGCAGAGATTATGTGGAAAGTCCAAGAGAAAAAGGCTAGTGAAAAACCTACCAGGGGAGCAACTCTCTTTCCTATGGCCACGGCATCTCCAACGCCTTACCCATAGATACTGGGTGAAACAAAAAAGTTTTTTGTTTTCTCACGTAACACCAGAAGGCATCAAGCAGGAGCTTTAATAGATGATCCCCCTGCCTCTTCAAAGAGAACAACCAACAAAGAATGCAAAAGACAAAAAAAAAAAAAAAAAAAAAAAGTTGCCAGAGCTCAGAAAGCCAAAAAGTTGTTAGAACATCATCCCACAAAGTAGGCCATAGCCTACACATTAAACCTAAACCAGGTGGCGTGACTGATAAAATAGAAGATTTCAATAGGATCAAGAGTCTCTTAAGAAAATATCCACAATGTCCAAGATGCAATTTAAAATTTGAAAATTACTCATCATAGCAAGAAGAAGGGAAATCACAACTTGGAAGAGAAAAGACAAACAACTGAAGCCAACATTGAGATGAATTAGATGTAGGAATGAAGGACAAGAATTTTTAAAAAGCAATAATGAAACTGTTTCAATAAGCAACTACAAATTTTTCTAAAACATATTAAAATAGAAAATCTAGGCAAAAAATAGAGTTTATTTAAAAATACCAAATGAAACTTATCAAACTAAAAAAATATAATAATGGAAATAAAAACAAAATGATTCTGGATGGGATTAATAGTAGAATGGAAATAACAGGAGATGTAATCAATGAGCATCAAGACAGATCAATAGGATTACTCAGTACAACAAAAAAGAAAACTAAAAAAGTAAATGGATTCTCAGGGACTGTGGGACAACAGCAAAAGATATAATATTTGTGTAATCAAAATTACAGAAGGAGAGGAGTAAGAAGGAGGGGATAAAAAATATTCAAGGAAAGAATAGACAAAATCTTTCCAACTTGTGGTAAGACATAAACTGTAGATTTAAGAAGCTGAAAGAGAATAAACTCAAGGAAATGCAGAAGACACATACCTAAATTTCTGAAAAGTAAAGACACGCACACAAAAATTCCTGAAAGCAATTAAAGAGAAAAGCATGCATTACCTTTAGGGGAACAACAATTTGTATGGCAGCCAATTTTTCATCAGAAACCATGGAGACCAGAAAAAAATTGGCCCATTTTCCAAGCACACACAAAAAAGGAACTATTTACCTCAATTTCTATATTTGGTAAAACTATCCTTCAGGAACTAAAGGAAAATAAACACCTTCTTATACAAAGAAAAAATAAGAGAATATGTTATCAGTAGATCTCGCCTTAAAGCATAATTAAAGGAAACTTTCCAAACAGATAAGCTATGCTATTAGCACGCTTTAAATTTCATAAAGGAAAATAAAACAACAAAAAACAAAAAAAAATGGTAAACGTAGAACAAATATAATAGACCTCATGAACCTTTTAAATCATATCTGTCAGTTTAAAAATATCAAGTTTGATATAATGCTCCATATGTATGAATAAAATACTTAAGACTTAAATATTTGAAGATATTTAAATATTTAAGAAATGTAAAAGATCATGGGACCTAAATGAAAGCAAAGTTTCAAGACTTCACTTGAAGTAAAAAAGTTATGTCAGTTGTGAAAAACGTAATATATGTACATACTAGTTTTATAATATCATTTATGTAGCTACTTTACCCTTAAGGTGGAAAAACTTAACTCCCAGCTGCTTAATTAGGGCGTGTTCAACATGTTCATAGCAAGTTCAACATGTTAACTTTTTTCAAGTAGTACAGTATTTAAAGAGAGCCAAAAAGAGTGACTTTACAGTGGAGAAATCTAACAAACGTTAACCAGGTGATCAAAGCTACCACCAAGTATTAATTCATGTTGATTGCATGTGCCCTTGATATGATGTGATGATAATATTGTGCTACTTCTGTCCTCCCCAGAACACATTACTTCAGTGTAATTATCAGAAAAATGTCAGACAAATCCCAATCGAAGGGCAGTCTACAAAACACAAACCAGTAATTCTCAAAACTGTCAAGGTCATCAAAATCAAAGAAAGTCTGTGCAACTATCATAACCAAGAGGAACAGTAGAGACAAGACTACTAAATGTAGTGTGATATCTTCCATGGGATACCGGAACAGAAAAAGAACACTAACGTAAAACCTCAGGAAATTTGAATATACTATGATCTTAAGCTAATATCAATATTGGTCCATCAATAGTGACAAATGTACCACACCAATATAAAATGTTAATCATAGGAAAAACTGGAACTTTCTGTACTAGTTTTACTATAAGTCTGCAAATGCAAAACTGATTTAAAATAAAAGTGTATTTATAAATAGAGGTTAACAGAATGGATTTAAAAATGGTTCAGCTATATTGTTTATGAGAAAATAATTTCAAACATAACAATATAGGTATATTGAAAGTATGGAAAATGTGTACCATGCTAACAGTAATTTTTTTAAAAAAAGCAGGAATATCTATGAGTATTAGATAATATTATAAAGCAAAGAATATTACCCGGACAAAAAAAAGGACATTATATAATTATTTTAGAAATCCACTAAGATGACATAGAAATCATAAGCAGGTATGCACCAAATAACAAATCTTCACAATATATGAAGTAAAAATGATAGAGTTGAGGAGAAAAAATGGATAAATCCACAAATTATAGCTGGATACTTCAATACCACACTTGCAGCAATTAAGATGATTAGGGGAAAGAAAATTAGCAAGACAGAGAAATACTGAAGAATATTATCAAACAATGGGACCTCATTCGCACATATAGAGCACTTCACTAAACAAAATTCAGACACACATTATTTTCAAGTGACCATAGAACCTTCATCAAATAAAGCACTTCCTGGTCCTAACAAGAACCTAAACAAGTTTAAATAGTTTAAAGACACAAAATATGTTTCTTGACTATACTGAATCAAACTAGAAATCAATATTAGAAAGGTAGCAGGAAAATTTTCAAACACTTGAAAACTAAATAATACATTTCTAAACTATCTATAGACAAAGAAGTCTCAAAAGTTAAATAAATACATACATATGTGTATATATACATATTTAAAAATCTAAGAAATAAAAATGAAAATATCACATCAGCACTAAAGCAGTGATAACAGACAAACTTACAGCATCCACTTGCCCTAGCAAAGAGGAGAGTAGTCAAATGAATAATCTAAGTTCTTACTTCTAGGAAGTAGGAAAGAAGGTAAACAGAATCCCCCAAAAGGCAGAAAGAAAAAAAAAGAAGTCAATGAAATTTAAAGCAGAAAAAATAGAGAAAAATCAATAAATACAAAAGCTAATTGTTTGAAAAAAATTTAAGCCATTCAAGATTTACAAAGATGAAAAAAGAGAGAAGGCACAAAATCACCAATATCACAAAAGAAAGAGACCATATCACTATAGATAGTTTAATCTTTAGAATAATAAGATATCATAAATAAGTGTATGCTCACAAATTTGTACATATAAAAATAAAACAACTCAAAAGACTACATATTACCAAAAGCAAAATAAGATAAAACAAACGAAAAAGACCCATAACCTTAAATAAGAGTGTGTAATTAAAAATATCCCAAAAAGAAAATACCTTGGCCCAGATGGTGCCGGGTGCAACCCGCAGACACTGGACGAAAGACAGATGAAGGAATGCACTCAGACACAGGTACCCAGTGAAAGAGTGGGCTAGGGGACCAGGCCCCTCACAGACCCTGAGGAGGGTGCTGTAAAAAGGCAGCAGCTGCAGCCTCAACAAACCCGCCCTCCAGGCATTTATTCAGCACAGATTTAATGACAAAGGCTTTGAATCAACACATTTGTGGAAAATTAACATGATCGCCCTCCCCTGAGAGAGTAGCCTTGCAGGTAATGATTAAAGGCCAGATTCCCAGTCCTAAGTAAACTAACTTATCTAGATCAGTTTCTTTACATCCCCTTGTTATCTAACCTAAGCTCTTAGGAGAATTCAGCTGCCTTCAGCCAAATTTTCTTTCGAAGATTTGCAAACCCCTGGACTTCCGAGAAGTTTTGTGTCCTTTTCCTATACTTTCTCCTACCACCCTGACTGATCTCCTACAAGATGGTATTATATCGTCTCCTCCGAATCACAGGAGAAGGCACTTCCTAATTTGTCTTATGAGGCCAGCGTTACTCGGATAACAAATCTACACAAAGACAGTGAAAACAAAACAAGTCACAAACAAACTTCCTAGAGTCCAACATTTCTCATGAACTTAGATGCAAAAAGTTTTCAACAACGTATTAGGAAACAAAATCTAACATATCAAAAGAATCTTGCTCCATGACTTAGCGGGATTTATTCTAGGTATGCCAGGGTGGTTCAACTTTCAAAAACCAATTAACAAAGACAAATTATACAATCACATTAACGGATCCAGAAAAATACTTAATGATGTTCAACACCCATTTGTGATAAAAACTCTCAGCAAACTAGAAATAGAAGAAATCTTAAAAAAAACAAAAACCTACACCTGTCATCAGAATGGTGAAAGACTAAATGCTTTTCTCAAAATCAGTAACAAGAAAAGCATGTTATCTTGCAGCACTCTGAGTCATGTAAGTCCTAACATTGTATTCAGCAAAATAAGGCAAGGAAAAGTCTGGGGGTAGGAGCAAAAAGATGTAGCACAAGAGAAACTGTAGCAGAACAGTTATGTATACTGACGTATTGGTAGTGACCCAAGGCCACATATGTGGTGAAATTGTATAAAGCTCTATAGAGGATGGGCACGGTGGCTCACGCCTGTAATCCCAGCACTTTGGGAGGCCGAGGTGGGTGGATCACGAGGTCAGGGGATAGAGACCATCCTGCCTAACACAGTTAAACCCTGTCTATACTAAAAATACGCACACACACAAAAAGTTAGCCGGCATGGTGGCAGGCACCTGTAGTCCTAGCTATTTGGGAGGCTGAGGCAGGAGAATGGCGTGAACCTGGGAGGCAGAGGTTGCAGTGAGCCGAGATTGCACCACTGCACTCCAGCCTGGGGATCAGAGTGAGACTCCATCTCAAAAAAAAAAAAAAAAAAAAAAGCTCTATAGATACACACACACACCCACACGCACACATACAAATGGATACATGTATAACTGGTTAAATCTAAAGAAACGCCTATTGTCAATCTCCTGGCATAGATATTGTATGGTATAGTTACATAAGAGATGACATTGTAAGACGTGGGGTGAAAGGTGTGGGGAACCTCTTTGCACACTTATATGGCACTTCCCGTGAATCAATAATTTCAGAATAAAAGCTAATGAGTTCACCTCATAAACAAAAAAAGCACATGATGATTTTGAGAGATGAAGCAAAAACACTTGAGAACATTTAAATTCAACTAAAGTTTTTTTTTTTTTTTTTTTTTTTGAGACAGAGTCTCTGTCACCCAGGCTGGAGTGCAGCGGTGTGATCTCGGCTCACTGCAACGTCTCACTCCTGCGTTCAAGCAATTCTCCTGCCTCAGCCTCCAAAGTAGCTGCGATTACAGGTGAACACCACCACGCCCAGCTAATTTTTTGTATTTTTGGTAGAGACAAGGTTTCACCATGTTGGCCAGGCTCGTCTTGAACTCCTGACTTCAAGTGATCCACCCGCCTCAGCCTCCCAAAGTGCTGGGATTACAGGTGTGAGCCACCACGCCCGGCCAACTAAAGATTTTTTTAAAGTGCAAAATAGGAAAAGAAGGAAGTGTTCTCAATCTGGTAACAGAGTCTGCAAAAAATACAGAGAAAACATTTTACCAAAGGGTAAAATATTGAAAAATTTCCCCCAAGCCTAGGAACAAGAAAGGATATCTACTTGACCACTCTACTTAACTTTGAACTGGTCCCCCTAGGCAGTATAATAAGGCAAAGCATTTAAAATAGTAAGAGATATAAATAAAATTACTTCTTTCAGATGATATAATCTTGTTCATAGAAAGTAAAGAACATACAAATTATTAAAATGTATGTGTATTTCTAACACAAAGTCAATATAACACTTTTGCATTTTCCTGTATTAGCAACAATTAGAAAATGAAATGTTAAAAGGTATACCAGTTCCAAAAACATAAATAAGAAAAACTCTAGGAAGAAAATTAATGAAAGATGTTCATGTTCTTTTTCAGAAAGTATTAAGTTATTGCTGAAAGAAAAAACTGACTTAAACAATTAGGGGGGACATTATCTGTTCCCAGATTAGAAAACTCAATCTTGTAAAGACAAAAGTTTCTGAAAAATTGCTTAATATCAGGTTGATGCAAAAGTAATTGCAGTTTTGCATTGTTTAAATTTTGTGTGACAGTGGAATGCATTCTTAAATGTGTTTATGTTAAATGACATTTTAATGTGCATTTCTCACTTTATTTTTTCTTGCTAATGACTTGTTACTTGCTGTTTATTTTATATTTATTTTAGATTATGGAAATGATGTTAGAGAGCAAACTCCGGCCATTTTCTTATTTGAGTTCAAAATGTGTCGTAAAGCAGCAGAGACAACTCACAACATCAACAACGCATTTGGTCCAGGAACCGTTAATGAATGTACAGTGTTGTGGTGGTCCAAGAAGTTTTGCCAAAGCAATGAGAACCTTGGCGATGAGGACTTTGGAGGCCAGCCATTGAAGTCTACGACCACCAATTGAGTGCAGTCATCAAAGCTGATTCTCTTACAGCTACACGGAGAAATTGCCAAAGAACTCAACGTTGACCGTTCTATGGTTGTTTGGCATTTGAACCAAACTGGAGAGGTGAAAAAGCTTGATAAGTGGGTGCCTCATGTGCTCAGCAAAAATTAAAAACAAAATTGTTCTTTTGAAGTGCCCTCTTACTCTATGCAGCAACAATGAGCCATTTCTCAATTGGATTGTGATGTGCGAAGAAAAGTGGATTTTTGATGACAACCAGTGATGACCAGCTCAGTGGATGGACCAAGAAGAAGCTCCAAAGCACTTCCCAAAGCCAAACTCTCACCACAAAAAGTCATGGTCACTGTTTGATGGTCTGCTGCCTGTCGGATCTACTACGGCTTTTTCAATCCCGCTTAAACCACTACATCTGAGAAGTATGCTCAACAAGTTGATGAGATGCAACAAAAACTGCAATGCCTGCAGCCGGTATTGGTCAACAGAAAGGGCCAAATTCTAATCCAGACAATGCCCGACTGCACGTTGGACAACCAGCACTTCAAAAGTTGAATGAGAACTGGGCACAGTGGCTCACGCCTGTAATTCCAGCACTTTGGGAAGCGGAAGCGGGCAGATCACAAGGTCAGGAGTTCGAGACCAGCCTGGCCAACATGATGAAACCCCGTCTCTACTAAAAATACAAAAATTAGCTGGGCGTGGTGGCGCGTGCCTATAGTCCCAACTTTTCGGGAAGCTGAGGCAGGAGAATCACTTGTACTTGGGAGCTGGAGGTTGCAGTGAGCCGAGATCGCACCACTGCACTCCAGCCTGGCGACAGAGTGAGACTTCGTCTCAAAAAAAAAAAAAAGTTTAATGAATTGTGCTATGAAGTTTTGCCTCATTCACCATATTCACCTGACCTCTTGCCAACCGACTACCACTTCTTCAAGCACCTCGAAAATTTCTTGTAGGGAAAACGTTTCTACAACCAGTAGGATGCAGAAAATGCTTTTCAAGAGTTCTTTGAATCCCTAAGCACAGATTTTAATCTCACAGGAATGAACAAACTTTATTTCTCATTGACAAAAATGTGTTGATTGTAATGGTTCTCATTTTGATTAATAAAGATGTGTTTGAGCCTAGTTATAGTGACTTAACATTGACGGTCCAAAAATGCAATTACTATTGCATCAACCTAATAGATCGGTGCTTCTATTTCTAGTTATATATCAAAAAGATGCATATAAACGTACACCAAAAGGGAGGCAGAAGAATGGCTTTTTGTGACACTACTACAGCCCCAACTGAACTGAACTGAAAACTTCAATAGGAGTAGAATGGATAAATTGTAGTGTATTTATGAATGGAACTACCATGCGCAATGGTAATGAACTATGCAAAATCATTGTGGAGTATCAGAGACATAATATTACGAGAAAAAAAGTCAGATGCAAAATAATGTATCATATGTGAATTTATTTATATACACTTCAAAAATCAAATAATGGTTTAGCTTTGAGAGTAGTAACTGAGAGAAAGCAGATGGTAGAGTCCTGAGCTTCTGGGGTGCTGTTCTAGATCTTGACCGTGATCTTAGGTGCACTGCTGCCTTCACTTTGTAAAAATCCCTCAGGGGACGCCTTTGAGATTTGTTTACTTTTCTGTGTATGTGTTATAAGATAATAAAACCCCAGCCTGACCAACATGTTGAAAGCCCGTCTCTACTAAAAAAAAATAATACAAAAATCAGTTGGGCGTAGTGGTGCCTGCCTGTAGTCCCAGCTACTCGGGAGGCTGAGGTAGGAGAATGGCGTGAACCCGGGAGGCGGAGCTTGCAGTGAGCTGAGATGACACCACTGCACTCCAGCCTGGGCGACAGAGGGATACTCTGCCAAAAACAAACAAACAAACAAACAAAATAATCGGACCTTAAAAAAAGATTGTAGCCACTTCTACCATTTAAAGGTGTGGGAAGCAAAAAAGGAAATAGCATTTCAAAATTTGTTATCTTAAGTTGTAGATGTTGGAAGTAACCATGTTGTCATTGTTAAGATAACACAATCCTGAGTCTTTGGACATGAACTTAGAGTTTCAGTATTTATTTGGTGTGCCTAATATAGAAAAAAAAAATAGAATTTCATGGGGAAGCCCAAGTAGAGGTAACTCATGAAATACAGAGGCTAGGAGCCTTGACGGAAAAAAATGCCAATAAACGGAAATATAAATCACTCCTACATATTCAAAATGTACATAAAATCTATAAGCAATGTCTTATGTGTGTATGTCATTGTGTAAGCATATGTGTATGTGTGTGTAAAACCAGGAGAGGGAGATTTGGTTCACTTCTAGAAAAATGGTAGCTCTGAACAAGGAAAGCATACGTTGAAAGACAATCTATGAATTACTAAAAGCTTCCTTTGCCCTTACGTATAAATTTTAAATGTAAATTTACACACATGGTTTATAATTATTGGTTGACACCTATAATTTTCAGGAGAGGCAATTGTTGTTTTTGCTGTGTTGTGTATCCATTCCTACCACAGTGCCTGAAATATGGTGGCACCCATAAATATCTCTTAAGTCAAAATAATACTGAACCAATGCACTGAAATAAAAATACTAGCAGCAGTAACTTACATATTGCAGTTTCGACATAACAGGCATCCTGCTTTATATACATGGATTGTTTGAATTACCATTACAATTGTGTATATGTTAATCCCACAGTTAGTTATCATAGTTTAGATTCAAATAAGAAGTGGGGTCGGGTGTGGTGGCTCATGCCTGGAATCCCAGCACTTTGGGAGACCGAGGAAGGCAGATCACCTGAGGTCAGGAGTTCAAGATCAGCCTGGCCAACATGGTGAAACCTCATCTGTACAAAAAATATAAAAAATTAGCTGGGTGTGATGGCGTGTGCCTGTAATCTCAGCTGGGTGTAATGGCGTGTGCCTGTAATCTCGGGAGACTGAGGCAGGAAAATCGCTTGAACCCGGGAGGTGGAGGTTGCAGTGAGCCGAGATCATGCCACTGCACTCCAGCCTGGGTGACACAGTGAGACTCTGTCTCAAAAGAAAAAAAAAAAGTGGAAGTGGGGTCTCAAACCCAGGAGAGATTGGAATAAATGTATGCCAACAACAGAAGTACCCCCAACAAACTGAAAGGGCTATTGCCACCACCTACTGTAAGACTTCTTTAGAATCTCCAATGAGATGGTACTTTAGCTTTAGTTGTTATTTACATTACTTCAGGTTTTTGTTGTTGTTGTTGCTGTTTTTTTGTTTTGTTTTGTTTTTTGAGGCACAGTCTTGCTCTGTTGCTCAGGCTGGAGTGCAGTGGCGCAATCTCCATTCACTGCAAACTCCGCCTCCCGGGTTCAAGCAATTATCTGCCTCAGCCTCCCGAGTAGCTGGGACTACAGGCACCCACCACCATACCCAACTAATTTTTGTATTTTTAGTAGAAACGGGGTTTCACTATCTTGGCCAGGCTGGTCTTGAGCTCCTGACCTTGTGATCCACCCACCTCCGCCTCCCAAAGTGCTAAGATTACACACGTGAGCCACCGTGCCCGGCCACTTCAGTTTTGTTTTAGGGGGTGTTGACCTCCAGAATAATCTTAACTTTCATGCATATAAATCAGTAAATCCTTCCTTCTGCAGCTTCTGACAGATTATGTATTCTGGAGGATATTCTCCCACGAAGATCAGAAAACTCTTCTAACAGATTTTTTTTCCCATTATTTATTGTTTTGAATCGAAAAATGAAACTTTACTCCATGGACAATTTACTGTTTTATTGTATAAAGATGAAGAGACTTAATGTTTGGTTCTAAACTATTAACCAATTTTACCTACCTAACTTATTTAATAACTAATTCCACCCTCTCTCAGTCACAGTGATTTTTTTTTTTTTTTTTTTTTTTTTTTTTTTTTTTTTTGAGGCAGAGTCTTGCTCTGTCGCCCAGGCTGGTGTGCAGTGGGTGATCTCCATTCACTGTAACCTCTACATGCCGGGTTCAAGAGACTCTCCTGTCTCAGCCTTTTCAGTAGCTAAGATTACAGGCACGTACCACCACACCCAGCTAATTTTTGTATTTTTAGTAGAGACAGGGTTTCACCATGTAGGCCAGGATGGTCTCGAACTTCTGATCTCATGATCCACCTACCTCGGCCTCCCAAAGTGCTGGGATTACATGATTGAGCCATTGCCCCCGGCCCGTCACAGAGGTTTTAAAGGACATCTTCATCTTACATCGAATTATCACAGATATATGGTTCCTTTGTACGTTTTACCCTTACTGTATTGTTACTGATTTTCAATACCTATACTAATTCCACACTGTACTAATGATTGTGCTTGTGATATTTGGTGCACACTATTAAATTTTTCTCATATTTTTTCATTTAATGAGAATACTTTGGAAACATTTCATCATCACTAGTATTTTCATTTGAATTGCTTTACATTTGTAAGTTAATTTTAGAGAGAACGGATAACTTTAATAAATAAAGACATATACTATAGAGTTCAGATTATTTTTCAATATATATTTTCAATGAATATTGATGTAAAGTAATTCAATTAATAGAATTCAATTTACTACTCATTTTTATATTCATCTAAAACAGTCACATCTAGACCAATATATATATATATTTTAACAGAATTAGTGAGCTGTTGGAACTAACAGGGAATAAATATAAAACTTCAATGTCCTGTCAGTTATTTGTTAAAGGGACAGATGCTATAGGTAATTTAATGCTGCTTAGCACCCAGCAGCATTCTCATGAATGCCATGACCCACGGAACCACCTGCCTATTCTGATAAATCAAGTGATAACCCTTAACAAACTAAAGATACTAGAACTAAATATTACTTTGGATAATCATTCACACCATCCAAAATAAAGTAGGGTAACTCTGAATAAAAACTACCTTCTGCTTTTTCTCCCACTAGGAAATGAATATTAGTATTACTAATAGTGATAGCAGTTAACACTTTTCCAGTAATGTGAAAAGAGTTTCACTTATCCCATCTCAATCATCAACATAACTCCAGTACATAGATATTATTAAAATGTTCATTTTATGTTTAAGAAACGGAGGCACAGAGAAGTCAACTGGACACCCTCAACTTGTACCTATTCATCAGTTTATTTCTAATTTACATAATAAAGCACATCTTTGACACTATTCTGGTACCCTTAGCTCAAACTTAAAGGAACTTTTCAAAACAAATAATGTACACAAGTTTGACTTTTATTTTAAAATGATACAATATGGACTGAACTTGAACCTAGGCCTTTCATATGCAAACTACATTTGCTGACAAAGGATACAATTAATCATTACACTAGTACATCCAGAAATTCATTTAATAGGGGATGGAAATACCAAGGGTAGAAAAGAACCAATAGTGACATTGCAATGAGGTTCAGTATTCTCCTTGTCAGCAGATAAGATTAGTACCAGGTACTATGGTGAGTGTGAGCTAGGGGCAGACATAGAGGGAATATCTCTAGCTCTGAAGGTGAAAGGGATGCAGCAGTGAGTTGGAAAATCCTTTAAACATTCTAGCTGCGCTGCCCTGGCTTTGTGATAAAAATCAGGGTCACCATTTAGTATATATTATGCAACTTTGTGCATCTGGAAATATTTCCCTATGTGAAAGCTCAATTATGCTAAAATATTTATTTATTACTTTATTACGTTGGCTACGCAGAAAGACAGAAAAACAGTAAGTTCATATCTGTGGAAGGTCTGACACAGAAAAGCTTTTATTGTGTCACCATAAAAATTATAAAATGGCCAGGGAGTAAGAGGCATAGCAAAGTAGAGAATGGAAGGAGGCCAGCAGGTCCATTTAAGATCATATTCATCATTAAATTACTTGTAACACCACCTAATATTCTTTCTTGGAAACACTTATCAAATTCTATTTCAAAACTACTTGCTCTTGTTACTTATACTGTGACCCTACCAACGTTTTCCTCAAGCCACTAAATATTCTCTACATAAAGAAATTACTTTGGTTTATTTTGCAAAGGCATATTTGGTGTTCATCATTTTCTACATGCAGCCAGTAACCCTGTGAACTTCTGTTTGACACTAAATCAGCTTTGCCACATATCTTCTTTTTACATTCTAAATGCATTCTCTTTTAAAGCTACTTATTCCTAAGAATCATAAATTTATTCAATGGAGTATATGTAGTTTGTACTAGTTTTACGTTACTTGCATTCATCTCTTTCCTCTTATCAATGTGATAATGTGATTTTAACCAATGAAGATGATAGATAATTTCTATTTTTATTGTGGTTTAAGAAGGTTACTCATAGCAGAGGTGACCTATTTAATGTTGTACCCCCAAAAGTTATGGGCTATTCTAAATGATCTGCTGTTTATGTGTGAGAATATAAAAAAGAAAAGCTGGGTTTTGAAGGTAAGCTGATTAGTTTTGTTAAACTTAAAAAAACTCTCAGCAAATATGAAATATTAGTGTTGAAAATACACTTAGGTACCACTATCTTTTAATACTAAAAATTGAGGCTGAGATAAATGACCACTTAGTGTTTTTAAAATACCCAGTAAAAGATTAATGTTGAATTAGAAATCAACATGATAGTCAGGTGTAATCATAGCCAAAAATAATAATACTAATTGGTTCATTGGGTTTTATGCTAGAAGAAAAAGACAGAAAAAGTCAGAGGGATAGATTTGGGTGTTATCCACATATATGTGATATGCTAAAGGAGCATGTATAATAAAAGCTCATTGTATGTATAATGAGCACATAACACACTTAGTCAGATAACAGATATAGGTGACATAAAAACAGACGAAGCCAACAGCAATGATGGCCACCTCAACTGGAAATTATTTGGAAATAATTTTATCAGCCTTAAGATTGAAAATGAAATGAGACTGGTCTAAACTTGCTTTAAATCAATAAGAAGGCTTGAGTTATTTCAATAATGAGAATCTTTGCGACCGACAAGCATTTATTATACATTTTATGATACCTCTGAAAGAAATAAAGTTACACACGTATCATAGACCTTATCAAAAGTTTCCACAATTTATTTGACAAAATCCATGAAATCATAAGGTATATTTTGAAAAGGACGATGGTATAAGTGATATTCTAATCACTTATTCCACACTTATTTGGGGGGCTACCATGTGTCAAGCAGGGTTATAAAAACCCAGGCATACAGGATAAATTCCCCACTGGACCTGAAGTGCAGTATTTCCTTACATAGTTGCATGAAGAAAATATTAGTATTCAGAATGTTAAGTTATATATAAAAAAAGACAGACATCATGTAAATTTGGGAAAAACTTAAAAAGTATTTCAAGTTACTATAGAGTCAATTTTCGGTGTATACTTCTGTGAATCCTAACACATGCAGATTGCTGTGTAATCATTACTACAGTCAAAATATAGGACAGGTTCATCACCCTCAGAAAACTCTCTTGTGCTATCGCTTTGTACCTAAACCCTCCCCCATACCATCCCTGTGAACTACGCATGAATCTGGTTTTACCATAGTTTTGTCCTTTTAAGAACGTCATATAAATGCCATCATACAGTATGTAAACTGCCAGACTGACTTATTTTACCTAACATAATGTCAATAGCTTTTTTAAAAAATTGTTGAATACCATTCCACTGTGTTAACATAGCACAGTGCATTCATCCATTCTCTTGCTGAAGGATATTTGAGTTGACTCCCGTTGTTGGCAATTGTGGATAGAGCTGCTGTGAATATCTATAGAAACTTTATGGTGTAAACATGTTTTTATTTAACTTGGGCAATCACCTAGGAGTGAGATTATTGGACCATATGGTAGTTGCCTGTTTAACTTGATAGGAACAGGGAAACTGTGTTTTTAGAAAGGTGTAATGTTTTGCATTCCTAGCAGCAGGAGTATAAAAGTTCCAGTAGCTTTGTATCCAATCTAACACAGTATTGTCTGCATCTTTTATTTTAGTCACTATACTTATGACTTATGATTTCTCAAAGCCTGAAATGTGAAAACAGGTATGGTCAATTTCTTAATGTGTAATATTGAAGGCTTTCTTCCCCAGATACATTTACCTATAATACTCTAGTGTGCTTTAGGTAGCTGATAGATTTACTGATTCAATTAGTAGCTCACAGGTTAGGTGAGCAATCAGCCCGCAAGTGAGAAGAATAAGGAGGTGGAATCATAAGGACCTCTGGAAGAGATATGAGGAAAGAAAGCACATTTTCTTAGTCTGCAATGCCTGCTTCCCTGGAGTGGCAGGCTGGTCTCTGAATTACGTTCAATAATCTTTGTAGAAAAATGAAGTATGGCAAAAAAAATGTAAGAATGCAAACAGTTTTCTTTATTCTAATTATGACATGAGAAAAGGTGATCTCCAAAATTTATGAATTATTAACATGTTCTAATTCCTTTGGGAAGGGTAAAGGAAGGAAAGACATTAAACAATAGACTGATGGGTTTGTGAGCATGTTGAAAACAAAACAGCTAATATGTGACCTCAGAATCAAAATAAGCCATGACAAAATGAGATTTTTCATTTTTTCCATAGGATTATTGGATCAAAACATAGAGGGATCATATAGTATTAAAAATTCTTAACTACAGGCAAATATATTATAAAATATCTAGAAATAATATTGGAAACACAGGTTGCAAATGAATTCAGAACTGATTAAATATTTTAACCAAAGAATGCTGATTAAGGGATTCATAACAATCTTAAGAAATCTGAAGAGATTTGGGTAATACTGTTTCCTCATTATGAAATATATGTTGTCAGGAGTCTAATAAATACTTGGAAACAGAAGAATAGCTGGGGTTCATTTTCTCCTCTTCCTTTGCTCAATTTTCTATTCCCACTACGGTTTATTTTTCTGGTATATGCATTATCTGACTTGGAATTTTCCCAAAACTAAATACAAGAATAGACACAAAATCTAAAGTGAAAGTCAGGACAAAAACGTAACTGTAGTTAACAGACCTAGATCATAAGTAATGGTTTCCCCCTAGCTTCTCTCTCTCTCTACCCCATGACCAGGCAATTAGTATTGTTGTGCAGTCATCTGGGCTTGGGTGCCACCTCATTTAGGAACCCTAATACTGAAGTGAATGATCTTCTGTGTACATATGGACTCCTAAATTTTATTTAGCTTCCTGCCTCCAGATGTTTTCAGATAATTATTCCCATAACCTTACATTAGTGAACATTATGCCCCATTAACCAAATTTCCAAAGACATGTTTCTTATCAAGGCAAACACAAAACTGCATGTTCCATAAGACAATTATATATGGAACTCCAATGCACCTGCAATTCCGACGTCCCACAAAGGAAGCCTCATTAAAAACAATACTTGGTTAAGTATATAAGCTATAGACTCATTAATTTCAGATAAGGTATGTAGTCATAAGGTCTAATAAAATATCTAAAAGAGAAAATTTAAAGCCACTCCTTTCTTACTTTGTTTAACTTATTTTACTTTTATCCTTTAACTGGCTCTGTAATATATCATTTCTATTTTATCACAATTACTTTAATATTAAAATTCAAACACTAGAGATATACTCATATTTTGAATAAACTTATATAATTATCAAATTAATAAAATGTTTATTCATCTGCTTAGTGATTTCTGCAGTATTGTGCACTTAAGAAATAATTAGTCTGTGCATTATATTTATTGAAATAAACTTGTATTATATTTTTTATTAATATATAAGGAGATGGGGGCGGCCTAAGTAGTGCTAAAATAAAGCAGTGGGACACCTTTACAATATGTCTTAAAAGAGGCACAGTTTGTCACTTTATCCTATCACCCTCATTTATATACCCTCAAGACTAGAATTACTTTAACAACTAAAGTTACTGTTACCAAAGGCCATATATTCAAATATGTATATTTTGTCTGGAAAAGGAAAAATTTCAAAGATATAGTATTCATTGACATATAGGCATGAATGATTTTACCAGATTAGCTACCCTTGGTCTTGAGAAGTAGAGGCCAATGCCATGCAAGAATGGTCTTTAGGACCACAGCACAGAGCACTGTTAAGCGGAGCTGGCTTTGTAGAACTGCAGTGATTGATGTTAAACAAGGGCATAGGGTACTTGGAAAGAGAAGGAGCAAGCCAGCAAAGGTTGAAGATGACCAGCCAAACCGTCTCTTTCAGGTTTTAGTCTAGGTCCTCCAGGAAGGAAAATCTCTAGAATTCCCTGATTCTGCACTTCTATCTGTACAAATAATTGTCAATTTAATTAAATATTTCAGCCAGTCCATATTTCTGTTTGTAGGACACAAACAATGAGCATCTCTGAGGCATTGGTATAATGATTCAGGATGTTTAAAAAATAATATAAATACTCCTTTGATACAACTTTTCAAAACATGATCACTAGTGTCTTTCCTTCAGACATAATTCTCATTACACCTGAGTTACAAAGACTGAGAGCTCTAATTTCTAAAGCGTGACATCCTTGTCCTGATATCACAGGCATCTACTTCAACTTACAATTTCCTCAAATGGATTAATTAATTATAAATTTATTAACATGAATTAACTAATAATGAACTCAAAATCAACAATGCATTTAATCATTTGAAATGTATATGTAGTATTAAACCTAAGTATTTTGTTAATCTATCCTTCAAGATTTGCACAACTCACTTTACATCAAACATTCATTCTTATTAAATTATCCCAGACTATTACAACATTCTCTAAGTTAAAAAAAAAAAAAGAGTCAATTAAAAAAAACATAAATTTGGAACCTGAGAATAATCCATAACCTTCTACTTTTTATACATCCTATACCATCTGCAGTCAATTAAATGATTCCCAGGTGTTCACTGTAATTGCTTTAACGCAAGATTGCATGTCATTTTCAGGGTCTTTAAATATTTATTATAAAACCCTCATCTACATTTTTTCTCCATTCATTTAGGAACAAAAACATGTTTATGCTTAGCACTAACAAAAATAAGCCGATTGGACTTAAACTGTTTTGTGGATTAAATTTCATTGAAAAATAAAACTTTTTATATGCCATAACTTGATGAAAGAGTAAAAGCATAGCTAGGATGTTGATTTAGTTGTGCTCATTTACCTTCTTCATTTTAAATTTTTGCACAAAATACGTGCCTATGCTCTATGGCTAAGATGTCAAAACATCAAATCAGATGGCATTTTGTCAGGATAATTGAATATTGAGGAACGTAAGGACCAGTAGATTCATCAACTGACTCCCTTCTCCAAAGGTAAAAAGTAGTTTTTCATTATTTAGACTTGGAACAGAAAAGAGTCGTGGAGACAATCTAGCAAAACAGACTCATTTCATACACAAGGCAACTAAATCCCAGAGACTTGGTCATGTGTATAGAGTAGTACACATGCAGTGTGAACAAAAAAATCACAATCACTAACTTATACATAATGCATACTATGCTCCAGGAAGCGTTCCAATACCTTACTATATGTTAACATATTTAATTTTCACATCTACTATATGAGGCAAATACTCATATTCCCCACAGAAACCTGGAACGGATGCCTGGAGTAATGTACATAAGGTCACATAGCGGGCAGTTGACAGATCTGGGATTTAGCAGTCTCCAAAATCCATGCCATTAATTGGTGAAGTATACGTCCTTCCTAAAAATAGTTTCTGAAGATATCATGATTTCCACATGAAAATACTCTCCATGACATTTTTACATACTGTATACATCATATGATTGTCCCCACAATATTATTAGTGAAAATCTATATATTCCTACATGTTTTAATAATTTTAATTGAACATATATTCTTGTCTTCTTTCCTTCTTTTTTTTTTGGTGGTGGTGGGGGGGTGGTTACTCAAACATCTCTTAATAATCAAAGTGCCTTTCTAGTAAACATGTTTTGTGTTTGATATGGTGCAATTTTGGAATAACTTAAATTTGTGAAACACGAAAGAGTATCTACTGGTTAAAAAGTAAAGGAATATAGTTTCCCTTAAACATACGTGGTTGTACAAATTGCATACATTACTGAGATTTTATTTCAACGTGGTAAATGAATAGAAATTACTTTAAAAAATATATCCAGACTCAAATTATGTTGGAGTATATTGCATGAATTAAAATGCTGAGGTTTTAATCAGCCTATGTGTATGGACTGGGAAATCTTTTTTCTAAAAGGTGTCCTGACTCTGACTTTGCTTCCTAGTACTTTCCTTGCTTTGATTCTTTGGGCAAGTGTGTGTGTGTGTGTGTGTGTGTGTGTGTGTGTGTAGTGGGGAGAGAGAGGGGGAAAGAGAGAGAGAGACAGAGAGAGAGAGAGAGAGACACAGAGAGAGAGAGAGACAGAGACAGAGAGAGAGAGTGTGTCTGTCTTGAATGTTGGAGGTGGGCAGAGGGGCACTGGCCCAGTTAAGAGTCTTAGGGAAGGTCTTCAGCCTTTTTTAAGGAATTTCATCAATATCAATTTCATCATGAGGTCATGTTATTTCAGAAACAAACAGGTCCAGCCACAGTCACTAATGTTTTGAGATCTCACCTCAATTGACCAATGGCAAACACAGGTCCAATTATGCATAATTTAAAGTGTATTTAAAAGACACACACACACCATGTCTTGCAGTTAAGTCTAGATTTTTTTTTTCTGAATTGAGTTGGACCAATAAACATGCTCTGTTCATTTGTCTCCCATCCACAATTATTTTACATAACTACCCTTTTTGTTATGAATCCAGCATTCTTTAAAGCATGTTGTCAGAGGATTACTAGGCTCAATGATTCTTTTAATGTAGAGTTGTTAAAAATAGGGCATATCATCCAGATTTCTCCCTATTAAACAAAATGTACATTTTATTCAGCACATGTGAGAAAAACGTGTTTGTTTCTCATAAGATCATATGCGTTCTTTTAAAGCACAGTGGGATCATTTGGTTACATTTCCTTTTACCCCTTTATTACCAGGAACATCACTGTAGTTTAATTACTCTGTAAGATAGAGATGCCTTCTTATGAGTAAACATTTACTAATAGAAACTTTAGATATATGTGTATCTTTTTATAAACTTACATAGTTTTAAAAAGGAAGTTATTTCACAACATGGATGCTATTATTAATAGACATTGACTCAAAAAATACAGGAAAACAAATTTTCAAAATTATTTACTTTCAGAATCCTAATGACCAATTTTCTAATCAAACAAATCTTCTTTCATCATATATATATACATATATATTTAATTTCAATTTTTAAGTGTGTAGCTGATTGACACACTCTGAGAAGTGCAAATGAACAATCTTGAAACCTTTATTGTGGCCCATCTGATTATCATTATCTCTACTTCCTGACTTCATAAACCTTCTTGGACAAAGAAGGCAAGCACCTCAGATCTCTGAAGAAACCAGTCAACTCTGCTACAAAAGCTGTTTACAACAGTTTCTATTGTTAAGTGATGTTAATTGCTCAAAGTGTAAAATATGAAAAAGGAAACTCATAATAAATACAAATATCACTTTGTTTAATTGCTTGCAAATGACATTCTTCCTTATTAACATATAGTCAGGCTTATTTAAGCCCTAAGTTTCAAGAATTACTGAGGAAAAACAGAAAATGAGAAATTAAAGATTATAATTAAGATTTTTATACAATTTGGTTATGCCACTGATTTTGTTTTTTATTTTTTATTTTATTATTATTATATTTTAAGTTTTAGGGTACAAGTGCACAATGTGCAGGTTAGTTACATATGTATACATGTGCCATGCTGGTGTGCTGCACCCATTAACTCGTCATTTAGCAGAATATCAAAGACAAGTAAATGATTCTGACAATAACAGCAAGGCTTCCCTAGGTGTTAGTTCATTCAGAATTCATTCTTCCAAATTTATTGAGCATTAAACAAGGATACCTATGATGAAATACAAGATCCTATTTAAAGCATAAGACTGTGGTTTTAAGCACACTCTAAAACTAAAATTTCAGAAGAATGACATTCAGTTTTTTAATACCCAATTCACCTTAATGTTTTACTGGGATAATAATATAGATGTGGGATTGTGGAACTTCTTCTTGTTTATGACATAGGGCCCCATAAGTAGCCATAATAAGTATCTCAAAAGTCATTGGGACTAGAATTTAAATGAGGAATGCTAACAAAACGAACAAATAAACAAACAAAACACAAAACACAAAGCTAGCTCTACCAGTTAAGATTATTCTTTTTCCAGTTTCTGAATTTATCCTCCTTTCATTTTTATCCTTCAGCTATAGACTGACAGCATAAGGCACATGAGAAAGGAAAATAAAATATTAGTTTTTAGCTATTACTTCATCAAAAATAAAAGATATTTTGTAATATAAGAAAAAGCAATATATAGCTTAATAACAGCCATGCTGGCTAAGTTTTTTAAAGGAGAAATTATTTTACTGAAATCAACCTATACTTTGTAAACTACTTATAAATGTAGTTTAAAAATAGTATGTTAAATATCAATGTAATGTTATTGATAAATAAAATATAATTATCCTCATGATATTGTGGGAAACAGTATTACATTTTCAGTGATCCAAATTACTACAGAATTATTATTAGTAGCGTTGTAAACAAAGTCTGTATAAAAACTGCATAATACTTTATTTATACTACCATAAAGATTTTTATTCTATATAAAATATAGATATATATATATATTCTATATATATCTTTCCTGAGATAATAAAACAAATTTCACAAAGATGGTGCATAATTTACATCCTTTGCCCACTTTTTTGATAGAAAGTCATGGAAAATATCATCATGTTATCAACATATATGAATATATAACACACCTAAAGTCAAACACTTTTTTCACCTATAAAAGAAAAATAATATTCTGCTAAAAAACATAATAATTATAGATTAAATAGAAAATTTTGACCTGGAGAATGGTTCTGAGACTCGTTTAAGAAAGTTCTTGCTTTTTCTTCAAGGAGTCTGACCTCTTGGGATGTTGTACTTTCTTTAACCACTTCTCAACAACAATCTCATTCCTCTCTTTCAGCTTTATTCTAAGAAGAGAAATTTGGAGGAAGAAATCTTGAGTTCATCAATCTCCTCCAATGTTATGAAGGTCAAGAAAATTAGAATCCTAGACTTAGTGGGGGAAATTGGATATTATTTGGTCAAATTCATAAAGCCTGGAACTTCATCAATTCACAGAAAATATCTGTCAAATTGATTTTTCTACCTAAAGTTTTAAAATATTTAGATTTAGTTTTTGTTAGGCTTGAGCCAGAAACATATAAAATATTTCTCTTTTGCATTTATTGTATTAGAAATAATTTGATTTAAAATTCTATCAGTGAGTCAGGATTAGAATTAGTACATAGGATGGCCTAATCACTGGACTACATATATCCCTGTGAGTGGAATTAGTAGGAAGCTAGGCTTACAGAGAAAGAAAAAGGTGGGGTACAAGAGGAATGGATATTCGCTTTGCTGAAACTACTTACATATATTTTTGAGGAAAAATGGTACAATGAGAATAAAATATGGAAAATACTCAAATTGTTATGTTTTTAGAATTGACTATACCTTTCTAACAGAAATCGATGCATTCTATTGGTAGACAATAGAATTGTTTTACTTAGAAAATGAAGAGTAACTGAAATTCTTTTCCCTAACTATTCAGTTTGTGTGCTAATTTTTTTAATATTGCAAAAATAGTATCATGACTGTACTATAACCAAGGCCATACACATAAAAACTGAAAGAATAAGAAAAGAAATAGACAAGGAGGGTTAGAACAGCTACTTTATGTATACACAATTAAAATTAGAGTCTTTAGAATTAAATTTTACTTTTCTACATTGCTTGATTCATTCAAGTATGTCTTCAAACTCTACATAAAGGTAAATTTATTCTTACATAATTGAAGAGTTTCTGAACATGGGATACACTTTCTGTGTTGTGTTTTGTAACGTATCTCTCAACAGTACCATAATTCAACCTTATCTAATATCACACAGATACACTGAATAGAAAAGCATCATGAGATTTCTCCCATAATATCACTGTATTTGTAACTTAAGTGATACCAATAATTACACTCACCATCATCACAATAATAGATTCAATATACAATTCCCTACCGTTTGTAGACACTGACAACACCATACTTCTTATAACAGCATTCAAAATGTGTCATTATCCCCATTTTAGAGATGAGAAAACGGAGTGTCCAAAAGATTAACTATTTCATTGGCACCCAACCAACTACTAAATAGCTCCCTGTGGCTTTGTTTCAAATATGAATACATTATCTCCTTTCACACAGCCCTAGTCTTCTTTTGTTCTATGTTCACTAAAATATGCAAACCAGCAAAAATACATAAGTCATCAAAAATACACTCAAAGGACCAGGATATTAAATAGTTTTTAAGTGTAAGCCTCAGTAGAATAAATGCATTTCTCCGCACAACAAGCTGCTGTGTCATTAACTTAATAATTTGCTGCATTTAAAACTCAGCTTAACATTTTTTTCTTTCTCCGTCCTCCTCTTGCTATTTTCTCTCATTTGGCAAATGCCAATATAACATTAAAATCAGTTTGGAACGGTAACTGAAAATACTAGCACACTAAATTCTTTATTTCCTGCAGGAAAGCATGCAGTGAAATGCAAACAGTATTTGCACTTCACGTAATCAAATGATTGCTTTGCTCTATAGGCGGGCATTAAGTAGCTATTGTGTCTGACAGTGGGCATGGGTATATATTCTTGGTGCACTTAATTTACGTTTTTTTGAGACAGAGTCTCACTCTATTCCCCAGGCTGGAGTGCAGTGGCCCAATCTCGGCTCACTGCAACCTGCGCCTCCTGGGTTCGAGTGATTCTCCAGCCTCAGCCTCCTGAGTAGCTGGGATTACAGGCACACACCACCATGCCCAAATAATTTTTGTATTTTTAGTAGAGATGGGGTTTCACCATGTTGGACAGGATGATCTCGATTTCTTGACCTCATGATCCGCCCGCCTTGGCCTCCCAAAGCGCTGGGATTACAGGCATGAGCTCCCGTGCCTGACCCTTAATTTACATTTTGACATTTCTACTAAGAACTTCTTTTTATATCAAGGACTGAATGCAAAAGGCAGTTCTATCTGGCTGAAGAGTTCTCAACTTTAAGAAAATTAGGACATGGAAAATCTACTAAGGTTAGGCCCGTTTCCATAGGCCTATAGTTTCTGCAGTTCCAACATAACAGGAATGAAACAGCATGAATATTTAAGTGGATGGTTCTTGCTTCTGAATCAGTTCTATATCCATACACATATCTCTTTTATTTAATCTTGAATCCATTTGCTAATAGCACCCCTCTATAACTGCTATATCTCTAATTATCACAAAATATTATCCAGTTGTAGCAATTAATAGATATGTAATGACAAACTTTTATGATGTAAAGCAAAGCAATTTTTACAAATAAAACTATATTTTTAGAAAATTCATATATGCTAAAATGTCTCCTTTTTGGGTTCATCAAAACAAATATTTAAAAAAAACCTACAAATTAAGTACACAGAATCAAAATTCATGTTTCTAAAGCTCATATTTCAAATGTATTATTTTTGCATAATTTAATTAGAAATATTGGAAATATACATTTGCATTTAAAGATGATTAATTTCTCATTAAAATAAGAATACCTCAGTCCTCAAAATTGTAATTTACTTTTCTCTTTCCCTCTTTCTCATTCTCTCTCTCTCTATATATATGTGTATGTATGTATAACTAGATAGAGATAAACAGATATGTAATGTTTATGGTAAGTAATTTCTCTGCAGAACCAATACAGTGTTACAAAAATAATTCAGAATCTACATGCATATCAAAACTTTAAATTACAAATTACTTCTTATTTGCCTTCTTATAAAAATTGAGTCAAGGAATCAATCTTGTATTTTGATATAAATCTCCAAATTAAAATATTTATTTGCTATGAGAAAAAAATTAATACTTCACCATTAATTTATATTAACAACACATAAAGCCTATAAATCTTAAAATATAATTTCAACATCAAATATAGAAGTAATTGATAAATGTTAATATTTATTATACTCATGCAATTTCTAATTTATATAAGCAGATACAATTTATTAGAAAATATTTCCCCTAGAAAAGGGATACACAGACCTAATGATGTTATCTCATGTTTCCTTAAGTTTATTTATTATAATTTAACATATGCTATGAAAATATTTCTTAGAAAAATGGTGCATTTCATAATTCAAGAGTAATGACCAGCAAAATAAATGTAATTCAATCTCAAAATAATACATTGGCAAGAGTAATAACTACTAAATACAGGAAACATGACTAGCCTATGACAAGTCAAATCATGTGCAAGAAAATTGGGCTGTAATGGAATGTTGAGTTATGTATCAGGGAAATAACATACTTCCACTTTTCTCAATTAAAACAAGCACAGTAGGCCAGATGACCCCGATTGCTTGACCTCGTGATCTGCCCGCCTCAGCCTCCCAAAGTGCACTCCAGCCTGGTGACAGAGTGAGACTCTGTCTCAAAACAACAACAACAACAACAACAACGACAACAACAAGAACCAAAAACCAAAAACAACAACAAAAAAAACCAAGCACAGTAGGAGCAATCTTTACCCCAAAACACTCACCTATGGTCAGCTGTCCGGTTAACTGCCCCATGTGATTTCTTGCATTCACTGTGACATTCCTGTCAGACTGTAAGACCAGCGGACTATCCTGGGAAACATGTATAAAATAAATAAATAGAAAATAGAAATATCGTCAAATTTACAAAAAAATATACTGCATTTGTTTGGATATTCTGAAAAATTTAATTTGTTTGCTCTATATTAGACAGTTAATTTAACGTCCCAATCATTGGTGGACAATGTACAAAACTGAGAGCCTCATAATAATTACTTGACAGAATATTTCATTTTCATAAGTGGGTACTAACTATCAGATGCAAGCATTTCCAACCCTACTGATTGCTGCACATCAACGGTGTAGTAACCCTTTTCCTTTTTCTCTCCCAGTGTCCTCTATGCCTGCCTGTGCAGATATTCCAGACGCTATCCCAATGGCAAAAGTCCCTTTTTAAGTTTAAGTTGCATCTTTCAGATCTCAGCTTAAATGCCACCTTCTCAAAATTGGCTCATCTAATCAGTGTAACTACAGAGTCTTTCAATCCTCAAACTCCCAATGTCCATTTAGTTTGTTTAAAGCACTTATCACAAAGCAATTTAATTTTACGTGTCTATCTGGGATTTTTTTGTTTGCTTGTTTATTTAATTTTGTCACAAAAGGAAAGATCCAGGGACAGGAACCATGACAGCTGTGTCTATGCAGTTACGTCATTATTACTAAGCATGCTGCTGAAGGAAATAATTTATGAAGTGTTGACTGAGTAGATAAAAAAATCTTCAGAGTAAAATTGATACTATAGTAACTTATTTTTCAATCTCATGGAAATGCTCTGTAAATCATACAAGGATTTCACAAGGAAGTATATACAATATCTGATTTTTGTAAATTCTCCTTTAGGACATAAAACTCTGGTAACGTGTTGACTTTTATTAGTAATTTAGCATTTAACAGTAAAACAGTTGATTGAAGGACAATAACACTGCCTTAACAGCTCACATATTAGGCTTCTGTCATACCTTCCACAGACAAGTAACATCCAAATCCCTACATTCTCATTTTAACGCTCTAAAACCTAAGTAGGGTGATCATTTACAAATCTCTATTAATTTATTCAATAAATATTCATTGCATACTCATTATGTACAATATAATGTTCTGGGGGGGGACATTTCGGTGATCAAAAAATAGAACAAAACTTGCCCTCTTGGTGCTTGCATTGTGGATGCTGAAATACTATGAAAATCTCCTCCAATATCATCCTTACCATCTAGGCAGTATGTCACGTCTATGTCAATGTCAATATACAAGTGCTTTCATATGTAAGCTATATTAAAACTCTCAATATTAGGATTTGGAATTGGTGATTTGGAGATATATATGTATATATATAAAAATTCATATAAAATTTTTATTTCGACAGATTTAAAAGAAAAAAAAGTCTAGTTTTTTTTTCCATAGGTGTAACTACCTACAGACACTTATCTCCTAAAAGATCTAAAATATTTAAAATTAATTACATCATCCTAATCAAGTGATATATCCAAATTCTGTTTAAAGTATAGTTCATGGACTAAAGATTGTTTGCAAACAGCTATCTTATACCCAATAAGAATACTACTGTCTCTTGATAATGACATAAAGATGATGGTTCATACATGAACACACACACACACACACACACACACACACACACACAAATTCTATTCAATCTTGGCAAAATTCAATGTAAGTATGTTAAAAAGGAGCTTTGAATTAAACACATTTGAATATTTGAATGTAAGAAACAGGAAAAGTCTATGAAACATCCTGCAGTTCAAAAAATTGTGAAAAAACTATAGGTCAAAATTATGTTCACTTTCTCTCAATATTTGTATGATATAGCATACATGAGTTTGGTTTAGAGTTTTAAAATATATGACACTATATGTTTTTATTTGAGTTACTAGACATATTAAACATAAGCTTCTTATGTCAACAATAGAGTAAAACACCATAAGCATTTGTATATATAATTTATAGACTATGTAAGTATATTATAAGAATTATTTCACGCCTGTAATTCCAGCACTTTGGGAGGCCGAGGCGGGCGGATCACGAGGTCAGGAGATCGAGACCATCCCGGCTAAAACGGTGAAACCCCGTCTCTACTAAAAATACAAAAAATTAGCCGGGCGTAGTGGCGGGCGCCTGTAGTCCCAGCTACTTGGGAGGCTGAGGCAGGAGAATGGCGTGAACCCGGGAGGCGGAGCTTGCAGTGAGCCGAGATCCCACCACTGCACTCCAGCCTGGGCGACAGAGCGAGACTCCGTCTCAAAAAAAAAAAAAAAAAAAAAAAAAAAAAAAAAAAGAATTACTGCCTTATTACACATGTTAAAATAGAATAATTAGGTTGAGAAGGCAATGGATAGTTTACTTAATTTAAAAGAGAAATAGACTTGTTAGAATGGAAAGTTTAGTCCGGGCGTGGTGGCTGACACCTGCAATCTCGGCAGTTTGGAAGGCTGAGGTGGGAGGATCACCTGAGGCCAGGAGTTTGAAACCAGCCTGGCCAACATGGCCAAACCCCATCTCTACTAAAAATACGAAAAATTAGCCAGGCATGGTGGTGGGCTCTTGTAATCCCAGCTACTCGGGAGGCTGAGGCAGGAGAATCACTTGAAGCTGGGAGGTGGAGGATTCAGTGAGCCCAGATTGCACCACTGCACTCCAGCCTGAGTGACAGAGCGAAACTCTGTGTCAAAAAAAAAAAAAAAAAAAAAAAAAAAAGAACTGAAAGTTTAAAAGTTTAATCATTCCGCATCTTTGTTTGCAACATAGCAATCTCCTTTTACTCTAACCGCAGAGAATTTGTTGAAGTTCTGTCTCTAGCACTCTTCCCTTCTTTTCATATAATTCTCCTAATTTTTTGTCAGAATTAAAATTTTATATCTAGATTAAAATTTCACTGTGATAGCACCAATAATCTTTTTACTTAGTAGAACCATAAACGTGTAGCTCTCAGAGGTAGTGAGTTATTCTCTATGCTGTGTTCCTATGAACATCAATATAGTATTAAGCTATACTTATTTATTATAATGTGATCAAGTGATCTGAACCAAAACCAAGTATCCATTTTTGATAAATGAAATTTGATGCCTGTAGGATCATCACTTCCATCCACAAGTCACATAATCATTTCTGTATTTTATATCAATACCATATCTTTGTGGATTAGACCCATTGCTCATGCATTTGAGGTTTAACACATGACTTTTTACACACTATCCACTCAGTACTAATTAAAACACATGTATGTGATAAAAATACGTATAATGATGAAAAAATCTTTCAGTCATTTAAGGGAGATACAATCCTAAGCAATTCATAAATCTGATCTCAAATATATGTTTAGGTTAGAATCAGCACCAACATACCACCTCTTAAAAACAAAAAAAGAAAGACATTTAAGAAATGTTTTCCCTAAATAAAGAAATGAATGCTCCTTAAGTTTTATGTCTTTTTTCTTGTGTTTGTTTCTCCAAAGGTCTCTGTATGAGAAAATGAGAAAATAACTGATACTAATATTTTACTCCATTCCACTGTCTGATTTATATCCTTTATATTATACTTGTGTGTTCCAAAATTTTGAAAGCGAATATGTGGTTTAAGATATTTAAATAGACATAGTAGTACTCTCTTATAGTTTATTCTTGCTGAGAAGATAAAGGAGAGAAATCTATTTTGTTGATATTTTCTCATGGAATAGTAATCAGATATTTAAGTTATGTAAAAGTAAGAAAGTAGTTAATATATTGCATGATACACTACTATAAAGATATAATATTTATATATAGCATGATAAGCTAGTATAAATATATAAACAATATATAATAATATATATCCTATATATAATATATAGCATCTACATAAAACAATATATATAATATATAGCATGATATACTAACATAAATATCTTTTTTTTTTGGAAAAAGAAAATCTTTATCTTCTGATGTAGTTATTTTTCCTCCAAGCCAATAAATCTCCTATAACAGAAATAAGGTATCTCATGGTTTTCCGAAGCTGACCCGAACTTGCCTCTAGCTCTAGAGGACATATCCGCCTTCTTATGTCACTCTTTAGACAAAGCAGATAGGTGATCCAGTTAGAAAGGCAACGAGACTGTTAAGTGGGCCTGAGAGGTTCTGCTTACAATTCTGTTACACACATATTCTTCATGCCAAGGGCATGGCTGCAATTTTCTAACTGTTAGATAAAAATAATGAAATATGTTCTTCTCATTTTAATATTTTTTTCTGATAGGCTATGCATATGACCAATGGAAAAATGATTTTTTCTTTTTATTTCTATTGCCTTCACTTTATTTATAACAAATATTTACTCAGTGCTTGTAATATATTCAGCACTCTGCTAACCACTGGATACAAAAGAGAAAGAAAGGAGACAGACTTCTTTATTTTCTGGAGTTCCCAATCTGGTAGCCAGACAGACAATAAACCAGATAATTAACAATCATACAAACAGAGAATATTAACAGGAACAGGCTGGTGTGACAGATATTTCCTTAAAAAAGCATTAGTAATATTGTTGAGAAGATATGGGTGTTTCAGGTAAGGATTTAGCTTCAGATGCTCATTCTCTCCAGTTTAACTATTACATTAAGTCGTAGTGAAATAGCAGTGGTACAAACAGCAACCAACATTTACTGGCCCTTAATCAATGCCAGATACTGCTCTAAATACTTTACATATATGAGATCATCCAGTTATGAAGCTTACAATAAAACCATCCACGAAGGGTCAAGATAATAACATGATTGTAAGACAGACAGGGGACCCTGACCATTTGAGTTCAAGCCCAAAGGCTGCCAAATGCTGACTTCCAAGTTACTCCACATTTCTGCATCATAGTCTCTTCATCTGTAAAATAGGGGTCATAGCACATAATTTATGTGCTTGTTATAAGGATTAAATGAGACAACATATGCAAAATGCACAGATCAGAGCCTCCCTCTGTTGACGGCAATGTGTGCTTTTATGATTTATTCCTCAATTTAACTATAGTATTTTACTACTAATAATACTGGATACCATCACTCTTGTTTCACAAATAAGTATAGTACAAAAAGATTAAGTCACTTCCTTCAAATGACACAGCTAAAAAAGGTAACAAGCCATGTTGGAACTCCATAATTTTGTTTCAAATATGCCCTGTCTACCACGAGGAAGTACTGTGTTTCTTGGGGCTCATCTAATTCTAGATTTTCTGAAATGTCAAACCAATATAAAAAAAATAGGAAATTGAATTCAACAAAACATACTTTAAAATTTCTTTAAGCATTTTGGTCTCTAAAAGAAACATCTTATACTCACACACACAAACACATAAAGCTTAAAGTGTAAGATATGACCTCTACTTTGCTGCTATCATCCAGGTTTTGGTAGCATGACCTTGTTTGTCTTGTTTCATTTTGTCTCCTCAGATTCCAAATGAGGAGGGTATGTTATAAACTGTCATCTGCCTACACATTTTAGAAAGTATTGCCTATGCAAATCTCCCTACTTGGTATTCTGAAAGAACATCACTAGTGACCTATTTTGTTCAGTGTAGATGATGTGAATTTGGTATTTTGTTACCGAAGTTTGTATAGTTTACAAGAAAAATTTTCTTCTCAGGGATGGAAATATAGAATTTGCCAACAAATCTACCTTATCCTCAGTTCCTCTAATCTTCCTAAATATTCAGTCAGCTGCGTCAGAAATACTTCTTGAATGCATCTTTTCCTGTTTTTCCATGCCTACTTCTCTAACAGATTTAAAACTCACATCGCAATAACCACTCGATTTTTCATATCCAGTGTTACTTAAAAATACTTTTAAAACATATTGGCATACTTGAATGAAAAGAAAACAAAACACTGATTGATTCCTAACTCTCAGCTTGAAAGAAATTTATGTTCATAACATGTAAGGTTCTTCACAATGTGACCCAATTCTACTTTTCTATCTCTACTTCACCTCACTTCCGTCATTTAAGAGTAAGCCAAATTTCCCATGTTTGTCAACTACATACCACTTATATTTATTTTCACCTTCAGTTTCCCAGGCCTGAAATTCTTATCCATGTCTCTTTATCAGGAAAAAGTATAGACATTTTTCCAGTCCAAGTCTAAGTCCTGTCCTCTGTGAAGCCTTTCTACTCCTCCAGAGTTAAAATTCACCTCCCACCCTTCAGTTCCTCAGTCAGTGTTGACATCGATCACAGTACTCGTTGTAGGCTTTTTGACTTACTTTGTTTTAATCATTCATGTGATTTGTAACCTTCATTTAACTGAACTGTCCTGAAAACATAGTATGCTGTCAATTAGTTTTTCTCATACAGACTTTTAAAAGTATAGTTTGTGTCACGCTTGACACATACTTTATGTTCAATAAATGCATGTTGAATGAATGAACTGAACTGAGCACATTACAAGATCCAGGCTACATGGGTTTAAGTGGATTTGTGTTCAGATCACACCAAATTTAGGAAGCCATTACTCCCCTTCTTTTCTTCCTTCTTCCTCCTCCTCTTCCTTCTTCCTCCTCCTCTTCCTTCTTCCTCCTCCTCTTCCTTCTTCCTCCTCTTCCTTCTTCCTCCTCCTTCTCTTCCTTCTTCCTCCTCCTTCTCTTCCTTCTTCCTCTTCCTCATTCTTCTTCTTTTTCTTCCCCAGAGCAAGGTTGGTAAAAATTCATTTCCGTGAAACAAGTCATATCAAATTATTATTTAATGGTTATTCATCATCCCTGTGCCCAAGGCAGCTACGTCATTCCTTTCCTTAATACTTGACCCACTGAAGCTGCAAAACAAGTGTTTACTTTGTTCTTTGAAATAAAAAGTACCAGTACCATGCTGTTTTGGTTACTGTAGCCTTGTAGTACAGTTTGAAGTCAGGTAGCATGATGCCTCCAGCTTTGTTCTTTTGGCTTAGGATTGACTTGGCGATGCGGGCTCTTTTTTGGTTCCATATGAACTTTAAAGTAGTTTTTTCCAATTCTGTGCAGAAAGGCATTGGTAGCTTGATGGGGATGGCATAGAATCTATAAATTATCTTGGGCAGTATGGCCATTTTCACGATATTGATTCTTCCTACCCATGAGCATGGAATGTTCTTCCATTTGTTTCTATCCTCTTTTATGTCATTGATCAGTGGTTTGTAGTTCTCCTTGAAGAGGTCCTTCAAGTCCCATGTAAGTTGGATTCCTAGGTATTTTATTCTCTTTGAAGCAATTGTGAATGGGAGTTGACTCATGATTTGGCTCTCTGTTTGTCTGTTATTGGTGTATAAGAATGCTTGTGATTTTTGTACATTGATTTTGTATCCTGAGACTTTGCTGAAGTTGCTTATCAGCTTAAGGAGATTTTGGGCTGAGACAATGGGGTTTTCTCAGTATACAATCATGTCATCTGCAAACTGGGACAATTTGACTTCCTCTTTTCCTAATTGAATACCCTTTATTTCCTTCTCCTGCCTAATTGCCCTGGCCAGAACTTCCAACAGTATGTTGAAGAGGAGTGGTGAGAAAGGGCATACCTGTCTTGTGGCAGTTTTCAAAGGGAATGCTTCCAGTTTTTGCCCATTCAGTATGATATTGACTGTGGGTTTGGTACCAGAACAGAGATATAGATCAATGGAACAGAACAGAGCCCTCAGAAATAACGCCGCATATCTACAACTATCTGATCTTTGACAAACCTGACAAAAACAAGCAATGGGGAAAGGATTCCCTATTTAATAAATGGTGCTGGGAAAACTGGCTAGCCATATGTAGAAAGCTGAAACTGCATCCCTTCCTTACACCTTAGACAAAAATTCATTCAAGATGGATTAAAGACTTAAACGTTAGATCTAAAACCATAAATACCCTAGAAGAAAACCTAGGCATTACCATTCAGGACATAGACATTGGCAAGGACTTCATGTCTAAAACACCAAAAGCAATGGCAACAAAAGCCAAAATTGACAAATGGGATCTAATTAAACTAAAGAGCTTCTGCACAGCAAAAGAAACTACCATCAGCGTGAAAAGGCAATACACAAAACGGGAGAAAATTTTCACAACCTACTCATCTGACAAAGGGCTAATATCCAGAATCAACAATGAACTCAAACAAATTTACAAAAAAAACCACAAACAACCCCATCAAAAAGTGGGTGAAGGACATGAACAGACGCTTCTCAAAAGAAGACATTTATGCAGCCAAAAGACACATGAAAAAATGCTCATCATCACTGGCCATCAGAGAAATGCAAATCAAAACCACCATGAGATACCATCTCACACCAGTTAGAATGGCAATCATTAAAAAGTCAGGAAGCAACAGGTGCTGGAGAGGATGTGGAAAAATAGGTACACTTTTACACTGTTGGTGGGACTGTAAACTAGTTCAACCATTGTGGAAGTCAGTGTGGCGATTCCTCAGGGATCTAGAACTAGAAATACCATTTGACCCAGCCATCACATTACTGGGTATATACCCAAAGGATTAGAAATCATGCTGCTATAAAGACACATGCACATGTATGTTTATTGCGGCTGTATTCACAATAGCAAAGACTTGGAACCAAACCAAATGTCCAACAATGATAGACTGGATTAAGAAAATGTGGCACATAGACACCATGGAATACTATGCAGCCATAAAAATGATGAGTTCATGTCCTTTGTAGGGACACGGATGAAACTGGAAATCATCATTCTCAGTAAACTATCGCAAGGACAAAAAACCAATCACTGCATGTTCTCACTCATAGGTGGGAATTGAATAATCAGAACACATGGACACAGGAAAGGGAACATGACACTCTGGGGACTGTTGTGGGGTGGGGGGAGCGGGGAGGGATAGCATTAGGAGATATACCTAATGCTAAATGACGAGTTAATGGGTGCAGCACACCAGCATGGCACATGTATACATATGTAACTAACCTGCACATTGTGCACATGTACCCTAAAACTTAAAGTATAATAAGAAAAAAAAAAAGAAATAAAAAGTAAAAGCTGGGCATGGCGGCTGAAGCCTGTAATCCCAGCACTTTGGGACGCCGAGGCGGGCAGATCACGGGGTCAGGAGATCAAGACCATCCTGGCTGACATGGTGAAACTCCGTCTCTACTAAAAATACAATAAGAAATTAGCCAGTCATAGTGGCGGGCGCCTGTAGTCCCAGCTACTCGGGAGGCTGAGGCAGTAGAATGGCATGAACCCGGGAGGCAGAGCTTGCAGTGAGCCGAGATCGCGCCACTGCACTCCAGCCTGGGCGACAGAATGAGACTCCATCTCAAAAAAAAAAAAAAAAAAAAAAGTAAAACTTTTATATTTGAAATTCATTTCCTTCAGAATGCAAATCATCTAATTATTGAAATTTTTATGTTAAAGGAAGAAGTGCTTATTATGAAAATAAACTTATCTAGAGCTGTTTACCTGACTTCCTTGAATTCTGCACTCACATTTTAACTTGAATGTGAAGTAATGCAGAAGAGAGATATTATCTATGTATCAATCAACTTTATGCATTTCTACTCTGATACTTTTATTGAGAATTTCCCCATTTGGTTTAGTCACGGTTATGAATTAGCTAGTCATGGAGGCCACTGCTAGGAATCTCTTCTGAGAAGGCTCTATGACTTTGCATTGTCCTTCTGGCTCCTGTCCACCTCTTTAAAGCTATACAGTAATCAGAGTAGTCCCCATCCTGAAGCTCTCTTTCTCCCAACCGATAATACGGATGGTATTGATGAATATGTATCCAGAATGATGCTGCAGGGAGCAGTTTTACACATGACAGTCCATTTACAGGGAATCTGGGGTAATCTATCACTTCCTGTATCAGTCAAAAACCTCCAACTCCACCTTTAGCCATGGGTGGGCTTAGGAAACAAATGCTTCTAGACTCATTATCCTAAAAGGGAATAGTACTATCTCTATCTAAAGTAACAAAGATCCAAATAAATCAGACACTGCTGTTGCTTTAGTCAGATGAAAAGATGCTTCTTCTTTTCCTCTTAGGCAACATTTGCAGCAACTAGGAGATATCCTCCTCTTAGCACTTCTATGTTGGGTTGCCACTTTTCCACTCCAGCTGCCTCTTCAGTTGTTCTTGAGGGTAATGTTGCCCTCACACCAGCCCCAGGGTTCCAACCCTATCCACTGTGAGTGCTACTGTCTGTCCAGTCAGTATGTTCACTATGGGGACATGATTGAGGTACACCTCAATTGATGAGGTCAAAGAGACTGCATGTTGACTAAGTAGAATTTAGACATTGTGTCTTATTTTGGTGAGCAGAAAGAAATGTACAGCATATGTGAAAATTTACTTTATATAGAAAAATAGACAATCTGCAGATTTAAAGCAAACGACTAAGGTAAAGCAGTAATTTTCCACCAATGGATGAATGGTTTAGCCAATTTGTATGTCCAAAGAAATCAAATTTTAATGGAATTAGATATTTTAAATCACTTCTTTTTATGGATCGAGGAAATTATTAAATTTTCTAGAATTCTAGAATGGAACTCCCCAGTGGTGAGCTGGTAGATTTTTCAAACCAAGCACTGTACAAACATTTTTCCCACTTCTCTTCTAATAGAATGATAGTTCATTTCTGTAGTATTGCATGCTTATGGCTTGGAAAAAAACAAGTGATGAGTTACATAAAAAGCTTGTGAAACTTTTGAAACTACTGGCTACCATGATCTTAATTTATTAACTACCTATCATGATGATGGTGATGACGATGCTAATGATGATAATGTGCGTGTGTAGAGAGTATCCCAGATGCGTATTTGTATATGATACACAGTTCATGTTATATGAGTATCATGAATGATGAAAACTAGAAAGTAAGTAGGGAACTAAGCCTCTATTAAACTGGTTTTCTTTTATCTTGGTGGGAATTGGTACTGTAAAAAGAATAAGAAGACTCTGTATTCTAAACTTTTTAAAGGACATCATATTTAAATAAGAAATTAATCTTTATCAAATAAGTTGGATATGTTTTCCAATAAATCTCTAACTAGAAGGAGGATAAAGAAATGGAGAGCTTAAGAGAAAAAATTGCCTTTGAGATTATTTTCCACAGATATATTTTCATTTATGATAATTACATTTGTACTAGTTGAAAAAAAATCTTTTTTTTTCTCCTAAAATCTGCTTGGATTATGAGGGGTTTTAAATATCTGGAAACATTAGGGCCACATATTTAGTTGACTTTATGTGCATGTATGCTGTAACTTAATTTCTATAGAAACAGATGAGAAAAACCAGAGATATAATATTTATGACAAATATGTTTCTATAATTACAAATAATAATGGAATTACAAAATATAAACAATTGGATATAAACTCAAATAAGTACAACACAGTTATAGTACCTGTGATGGTTAGTTTTGTGTCAGTTAGACTGGAGATGGGTGTCCAAATATTTGGTGAAACATTATTTTGAGTAGGTCTGTGAGAGTGTTTCTCAATGAGATGAACATTTGAATCAGTAGTCCCATTCAGGAAGATTTTCTTCCTCCCCAGTGTAGTTGGACCTAAATAGAATAACAAGGCAGAATACAAGAGAATTCACTCTCTCTGCCTGACTGTCTTCAAGCTGGGACATGAGTCTTCTCTTGCTTTTGAATTCAGATCAGGAGTGGAACTTACACCATTGGCGCTTTTGATTTTCAGGCCTTCATGTTTGGTTTAGCATGATATCACAGGCTTTCCTGGGTCTCCAACTGGCTAACTACAGATCCTGGGGTTTCTCATCCTCCCTAACTGCTTGAGTCAATTCTTTATAATAAATCTCTTTATTTATTGGTCTGTTTCTCTAGAGAACCCAGACTAATACAGCAACCATATTATTTACTAAAGGAACATGGTAAAAACATGCATGAATGCTAAGCAACAAGGAGACCTTGCAAGTAGCAATTATTGTGCTTGTATGAGACACTATGATTTCGCATACTTTGAAGCATTTTGTTAATTGTGGTTATACCTTAGCTATATCTGAGAAGGCAATACTGCAGGAGAAATATTAGAGATAATCTATTTTCAACTTCTATAGTCATTACTTTGAAGATCTCTAGCAAGTCTTACCCTTTTCTTCCTCAACTAAATAAATGTGGGGTGGGGGGAATATTCCTGAGATTACTTTTTCAAATGACTGGAGCGATTTCAAACTTCTGACATTTTTCTACACTAATGGAAGATAAACCAAGCCCCTGAGCCTCCTTGCAAGATGGCAAGATTTTGAGCCAGAAGCAATGTAAGTATGTCTAGCTAAATCAAAAGAGTAAGTATATCATGTGTGGTGGGCAAACATTAAGAATATGTCAGACCAAATAGCACAAGACACAACTAAGAAGATTACTCCAACCCAGTGCTTACAAATCAATAATGTACATACAAATCATCTGAAGATATTTCTAAATGAAGACCTGAGTTGAAGCCTAAGATTCTGCATTTCAAACGAGCTTCCAGGTCATGCCAACAAAGCTGGTCTGCAGATTACTCTTTGAGTAGAATGACTCTAACAGCCCAGCTGAGGTGCAGGACTAGAAATGGACTTCCAAAAAGCTCCCAGCCAGAACCTTTTAGATCTGGAGTGTGGCCCCAAATCATAGATCAAGTAGAACATTGCAATTGTTGCAAAAAAATTTTTGAACTATTTCCCAGCCCATGTTAAACCTACAAATCTATAAATTAGAATGTTTGCCCTCCACACCCCAATTTCCATGGGAAAGACTGCTCACAAAAATGTGTCGAAATTTTTTTTTAAAGCAATACTGCAGTTAAGCTACATTTTCTAATCTTTTTTATACACAGGCATAACCATACCTCCATGTTATAATCAGCAGAATGTGGGCAGAAGTGATATAGGACATTTACAGGCCTGCACTATAAAAACCTGCAGTGTGCTAGCCTCCCCACCTGAGGTCCTAGAGCGATATGGAACCACACATGAAAAGAATAGGGGTCTCCATATATCTGCATGGATCAGAACCACCAGTCCTACAAATACCACTGGATTGTGTAGTGACAGATATATAATTTTTGTATTTGAGTTAACCCTTGAGATGCCAGAATCGTTTGTTATTGGAGTTGGCCTGACCTGACAGAACAGCCCTTGCTCTCCTCTGTAGGGACTTACATGTCCCAGCGCTCCTATGCACCCAAGGCTCCTTCCCTGTAGTGCCCTGACAACTCTTCTTCCCTGTCTTAAGTTGGCTCCATACTCCTCATCCTTTAATCATGTTGACTTTTCTTATAACTCTGATATACCGCCAGATAATTATTAAGCTAGAGATGTGTATGTTAAATGACATACTTGGGCTAGGCATGGTGGCTCATGTCTGTAATCCTAGCATTTTGGGAGGCTGAGGTGGAGGGATCACCTGAGGTCAGGAGCTCAAGACCAGCCTGGCCAACATGGCGAAACCCCGTCTCTACTTAAAGTACAAAAATTAGCCGGGTGCAGTGGTACGCACCTTTAATCCCAGCTACTCGGGAGGCCAAGGCAAGAGAATTGCTTGAACTCGGGAGGCAGAGGTTGTGGTGAGCAGAGATAGTGCCACTGTACTCCAGTCTGGGCAACAGAGCGAGACTCTATCTCAAAAAAAATGAAAACAAATACAAACAAAAACGAAAGACATACTCAAAGGCACTGATATCTAACATCATGTTTTTCTCTCAGGGATAATTAATCAAAATGGCTTCATTCAGAGCAGGCACCGGCCAACTTTTATTTTCAAGAGACAGACAGAAAATCAGATAGTAAATATATTATGCTTTGTGGGCTATGCAGTCTCTGTCAAAACCATTAAACTCTGCTGTTGTAGGTCAAAAGGAGCCACAAACAAGAACTGAATGGGCATGTCTGTATTATACCAAAGTATTATATTTTAATAAGAGACAGTCAGCTGCAAGCCATAGTTTGCCTACTTCTGATCTTGAAACTGAATCTCCACTGAATTTTGGAAACCAAAGTTATAGCAACTAAACCCATAACATTTTCAAAACAATTCTAGTATTATATAAAAACATTGTTTTTAATAATTTTTAAATAAATAATGCATAGTATTAGACTTGCATGCATTTTATATAAGAATTCATAAAAAGGAAAAAAATTCCATTATGTTAAATGTAGGTATAAATTTAACTTTGTAAAATGTGGCCTGGGATACTTTGCCTCCCGGGTTCAAGTGGTTCTCCTGCCTCAGCCTCCTGAGTGGCTGGGATTACAGGCGCTCACCACCACCTAATTTTTGTACTTTTAGTAGAGACGGGGTTTTGCAATGTTGGCCAGGATGGTCTCGAACTCCTGACCTTAGGTCATCCTCCCACCTCGACCTCCCAAAGTGTTGGGATTACAGGCGTGAGCCACCGTGCCTGGCCTGATTCATGTCTTTTATTAGATTGGGAAAACTTCTCATCTGTTAGCTCTTCAATAGGGCCTCTTCTTCATTCTTTACAGTCTCCCCATATGGAATTCACATTAGATATGTGTTATATCTTCCTTCATTCTGCCTTTCATGTCTCTTTAATGCTCTCTTATCTTTCCCATCTCCCTGTCTCTCTGTGATACATGCTGGCTTATGGCTTCATATCTTGTGCTAGCAGTTCTTAGCTATGTTACTCAGCTCTTAAGTTATTCATTAAAATATTAATTTATGAATATATTTTTGTCATGTATTTTTTTCAGACTTGTCAGATATATTGTTTTTATTGTTATTGGGTTTTACTATTTTTATTCCATTGTTCATTTCTGAAGCATTGATACATATATATGATGTATATATAATTTTAATATTCTGTATCTGAAAATTTCAATTACTGAAGTAACTGAAAAATCTAAACTTGTGAATAATTGTTTCTGTTAAATTTCACTCGAGGTAGCCCATTTTCTGATAGCCTTTTTGATTGTTTGTTTAGATCATAATTAAAATGTGAGAAGCCTAAGGAACCAGGATTAAGGGTTAAGGAAGCATTCTTCTAGAGAAAGTTTGTATTGTACCTGCTAAGTCCTAGAGATGAGTACAAACCTCGAGATAATATAAAGTCGAGGGGGCAGGACAAAATTTTCAAGAGGCTCAAGGATACAGTACTTGTAACTCCAATGGCCTGATGTTCCTTTTCCTGTTTCCAGCCATTAGTCCCCAGAGCTTCAGCTTTCAGGCAGTGCCAGTTGTCTCTAAGGGAAATTCTGATTTTAGCTTTCATTTTCTACTATTTTTTCAACTCCCTGTTTCTGAAATTTACTTCACCATACTGGCTTTCCATTATCTTTTGCAAATTTAGAAATTCAAAGAAAATACATCTTTTTGTAACTTAAGGCATAGCTAGGTTGCCTGTGGGATTTTATTTCAGAACATACAGCCTGTGAATTTACTGGATGCGACGTCCTCATTAGGCATCTTTTTGCATAACCAATGAACTCATTATTCATGAAAAATAAATAAAAGAAGGCTAGAGTATGGAGGTAAGGGTTGAGAAGAAGTAAATATAGAATATGCTGTCATTAAGAATAAAACAGTAGATAACTTGAAATTAGAGAACAAGATAGAACTTAGAAACATATATTATCATATGCTTCTAAAAATATGCTTCTAAAAAATAAGTTGTGTGTAGGGTGTGTGTGTGTGTGTGTGTGTGTGTGTGTATCAGTCAGGAAGAAGTGTTTGCAGATTTAATTTTTGTTTATGAATTGCCAGATCTTACGTGAAATCATAAGCAACTGTAATATATTATTATAAGATAAAAGCATAGTGCTTACTTGTACTATTTGTACAAGTTTCATCCAGAAAAAGAGATTTCAATTACATTTCCTTGAAAGACTAGTTGACATGTATATGAAACAAGTAATCTTTATGCCTCAAAGCTGACCCATTCTTTTCTCTTTTTTGACTTAACAGAAAATCACTTTTTCTTCAAATCAGAAATAATAATATTATATCTGTATCCATATATCTGTCTATGTAAAGAGATATAGTTCATTGGTTATATAAAAAGGTATCTAATGAGAACTTCTAGTAAATTTGCAGACTCTGTGTTCTGAAATAAAATCCCACATGTAACTGAGCTATGTCTTATTTATATATGTAACATAAATATAATAAATAGCTTATTCTTGCTTTACAGAACGAGCTATCTATATTAAAACAGTAGAAACAACTAGAAATTTCCACATCTAATAAACATTAGCAAATATTGGTATAAATAATTTTTTCTCTCAAAGTGTGAACCTTCTCCTAGTGGAGAAATAACCATAGGACTTTCAAAAATCTTTTTTACATGTAAAAAATTACAGTTTTTCTCACTTGTTCTGCTTTTCATGAAACATTTAAAAATAATGCAATCTGAAGAACAAACATACAGAAAGAAAAACATATTTATGCTTGTATTAAAACAGTACTTCTTCCAAAAAGATATTAAATATGTTACAACCTTAAACACAGTCTTAAATTGGGCACTAAAATCCATTAACAGAACTGAAGACTTTTTAAACCATGAGAAATAAATGTGTCTAAGCACTTATCTCGTTGCTTATAATCAGCTTGTTCCTAGAGGTGAACCCTGGATTTTGAGTTTACCGGCAGTTAAGGCAGAATAAAAATGTTACATTATAAAATTTTCATTGCCTGATAAAAGAAAGCAAAGAAATTTACACAGAAAAATATTTTCCCACAATACTAGCATTTGATCTTCGCTCTCTCAGAAGCTTAAATATGTTCATTTAAAGCATTCGCTTGTAAATTTGGGCAAATCAAATGGTGCCCTGCACTGCTGGCACTGAGGCCTGCCTCACCTAATGCTACTGGGGGCCAGGTGTAGGTAGAGCATTAGGGATATAGTCAGATGTTATCTTAGGTCAAAAATAAGTGAAGCAGTAAATGAAATGAATGAATAGTGTTAAAAAAGATTTTAAAAATTGAATCCAGCTTTTAGTGTCATATTCCTCTAAATTGTTTCATTTCCCATTATTTCTATATGAAAACATTAATTTGATATCTGATTTACATTAAGAACATTAACAAGATAAAATATTTTAAATGTCATCCTTTCCACTAAACATATTTAAAAGTGAAATGAATATGCATACTTACCATTTTAGAATGTGAAAGACATCGTGTCGTCTTTTTTTTTCTGGAGGAGGAATTTGTGATGTGTGAGATTCATTATTCTAAATGTGAGTGATCAATTTACTAAAGCTGTAGAAAGTGTGAGGAACTGATCTGTATTCATTTATATTCACATTCTGCACTGTACAATTCTTCACAATTCAGTGACTATGAATTTGCACAAAGTTCAAAATCTCTTCCTGATCCACAAAGTGAAGTTCTGAACTAGATTCAGAAAAATCATGCACTGCTTTTCTATTATTTCTCCAGTTTGGCTGCTTTTGCTGCCTCTTCCAATGGGCATGGAGGTGGGTGGATGTCCTCTATGTATCTCAGTATTAGTTCCAGATAATTCTCTCTCTCGTCTCCCTCCCCCTTAACCTTTAAAGTTCACATCACGACACTACACAAGTCACTACGCTTATCAGCCCTCATTCCTGGAAGATTTCCTCTTTTGGTTCACCCACTGCCATACTCCCAGGAATCATTCCAGTCATAATTGTTGGTAATTTCAGTTACCATATAGATAATTTCCTGATACTTTGAACTCTTAGGTTGTTGATCTATCCTCCTATGATCTTGTCACATTCACTTCATGAGCCTCTCTCCTGCTCATTCGAAGATGTTTTCATGATTAATAACTGTATCTCTTCCATTATCTCCATTGTAAGCCTAACACAATATACTTGTCCTTTTAGCTTACTGCTTCTAATGCCCAACACCAACATGTAAAAAAATTTCTTGAGGATTGAGGTAAAAGTACAATTAAAATTTGTATTCAACTGATAAAAAGACAATTACATTATAAATTTGTTTTATCATCGCTAAAAAGACAAAGTATAAATTTATTAAAGATAATTACAATTAAAAATTTAAAAAATATAATAAAAACATAAATCATCCAAAAATATTCTTTTAATGAATTTTTCTCCAATTAGTTCACTGTCTTTGGATGAATATAACTTATTAATGAATGAAAGAGGTTCAACATTAGATATATGCTACCTTTGCAGTATAATGTGTGGGATGAGAAATATATTCATATAAATAAGTAGAAATAAAGAGATTTGGCATAAAAATGTTACTTAATTATTGAACAGATTTTGAGGTATTTCCATCAAAAACCCTATCACATTGATTTATCTTCATTATATTTGACAATAGCCCAATTAGATACAACCTTCAATTTTGCAATAAGGAACTAATCAGAAACCAACAAAACTGCCACATGTTTCATTATCTATTCATTAAATATATTACATCTCTCACTTCGAGGAACATGCCTAAAAACTTTTTAGTAAAACTAAGTGATTGCTTGATATACCTCTTATTTTCTCTTGAAGACCTACTTTGTTTAATAGATATATTTTAGGAAAAGCTGGGATACTTGATAGATGGCAGAAGCATATGATATATAAAATGCTTTCTTTCTTTAATATGCTTCATCCATATTTTTACCATAACCTTGGAGCCCAGGATTTACTTTAATAAATTCATTAAAAAGTCTTCCATATAGCCATCCTAAGAAAGATGTAAGAGAGGTGCATGTATGAGACATAGATTTTTGCCATATAGTCATTGGCTCTATATTCTTAATCATGTCTCTTCCTCAGAAAAAGTGCACTTTAACACCAGTCAGGGGGTGAAAAATGGAAGATCCCTAGATGGAACTTGTTAGCACTCTGATCTATCATTCTACAAGATACCTAAATATAAAACATTTCAGCTCCTTCAGAATAACTTGCTTCATGCTTAATATTAAATCCCTCATATACATATATGATATATAAATCCTACTATGAGTTTTTGATGTTCAGTTGGAATTACTCTCTCTTTCTCCTCCCTGAAGGTTTAAACCCTTAAGACAATGCATTTTGAAGATAAAAAACTATGATTTTACATTAGAAAGATGTAGTTTACCATAACCAATATTTCTAAAATGCTCCATCCAATGAGCATCTCTAAGTTTTTATAGTACCTAGTGTACCTTATAATCTGTTTGTCTCATTTCTCAATTACATGAATCTATCCACAACACAAAATCTGAGTTATCAACTTTCCGGGTTCACAGAAGCTATATCATCAAACTGTCTAATATTTACTCTTACTTTAATTACAGCTAAATTAATTATTTATAGACCATTGTTTAAATGATATATTCCTCTCACCATTACGGCCAGAACACTGAGTTAGACGTATATAATAGAGTATTCATTTGTTAATCTTCTTCAAAATCACTTTTATTTAACCTCAATTAAAAATAATCCTCATTATTTTTAGGGTGATACAATATTAAGCTAGATTGAACAGGTTTCTGGCCAGGCGTGGTGGCTCATGCCTCTAATCCTAGCACTAGAAGGCCAAAGTGGACAGATTGCTTTAATCCACGACATTGAGACCCACCTGGGCAATATGGCAAAAATTCACCTCTACAAAAAACAAAAATTAGCTAGGTGTGCTGGTACACACCTGTAGTCTCACCTACTTGGGAGGCTGAGATGGGAGGATCACTTGCTTGATCCCAGGAGGTTGAGGCTGCAGTGAACCGTGATTGTGCCACTCACTCCCTCACTCCACTCACTCCAGCCTGGGCAATGGAGTGAGACCCTGTCTCCAGAAAAAAAAAAGAAGAAAGAAAACAAAACAAAAACACAAACAAAACCTAAACAGGTTTCCTCTTTTACTCTAAAACTGTTTTTGCAGCATTCTTTCTTTTTTTTTAATACATCCAAAAAGTACATTTTAACGTATGACAATTTTTTTTTTATACTTTTAGTTCTAGGGTACATGTGCACAACACGCAGGTTTGTTACATATGTATACATGTGCCATGTTGGTGTGCTGCACCCATTAACTCATCATTTACATTAGGTATATCTACTAATGCTATCCCTCCCTCCTCCCCCCGCCCTATGACAGGCCCAGGTGTGTGATGTTCCCCTTCCTGTGTCCAAGTGTTCTCATGGTTGAATTCCCACCTATGAGTGAGAACATGTGGTGTTTGGTTTTTTGTCCTTGCGATAGTTTGCTGAGAATTTTGCAGCATTTTATATTGTTTTCCTCCATAATCTCCTTAGGAAGCTCTACATAACAAATTTCTTTGGCAATTTGTGTTAAGAAGAGCTTTGTTTCTTTTAATTACTGATTATATTCTTATATTTGAAACTGGAAAGATATAGATATAGATATATAGACATATCTACCTACCAATTCAAGATCAATAAATGAACAATTTGCTGCAGTGTCTCGAAGCAAATGAAATGTCGGGGGAATTTGGTAGTTTGTTGAATAAGAACCTTGCGTGACATTTTGATTGAACTTGGACTTTTAATTACAACTACCAAAGTAGTGAGGCTGTGTTATTCAAAAGAAGTGTCATTAATTATGAGATCACTTTATGTTTTGGAAGTATTATATGCTAAAAGAGAATATAGATACTAAACAATCAGTTTTATATCTAAATATAAACAAAATTCTGTGTTTCCCCCATGTATGAAGATTATAATGAAAACTAGGTCTGTCCTTGTGAGTTTCTCAGGACATTAAACTTACACCATTAATCATTAAGGTGGCATATTTCATTTAAAGAGGGCAATGTATTAGTCCTCTGCACTCTGCAAACACATGCCCTGTACTTCCCTGATCTCTCGGGAATACTCTGACCTACTGGAGGATTCATGGAACAAAGTCAAAATCATACTGCAAAAGATAGGTCACAACTCTGGACTAACTGTAGAAATTCACATGACATTCTGGAAGAGCCAAAGTTCTTCATTAGGTTAATAGACAAGATATGAAGAAATATAACAGAAGATTTGTACTTCTCCAAAAAAATACTGATACTATATTAAGTAAAATTATATTGAAAATTTATCTATATATTGTGATACTGAGCTCTTATGAAGTATATTCAGAAGAGCACAAAATAATATACAAATTTTACTGGATTAATGTAATGGTCTTGTGATTAGTTTACCTGCAAGCAGGCAAAACCCACATTAAACTGCAGTTTGTATATCTTAAGGTATTTTAGACAAGCTTGCATGACCTTCAAGTGTGAGGATTACACGCAGCACAATAGAAATAAATGAGAAATAGGTCAGTTTGTAGAAACTATTCAAGAACATGCCCTTGCCTTCTTCATGCTTGCAACTAACTTCCAAAAATAATTAGACATTATAAATTATGTAGCATACAGGCAAAGGCAGAGAGCAGGTTTATAACCTTAGAAAACGTTCAGCAAGAAGCTTAACCATCATCACATCATATATTTAGCTGTGTCTTCCTGTTTGATTCCAAAACGTGCTAAAAGTCTTCCCTCTATACTTTAGTTTTTTATGTTATGAAAAAAGGCATTTAGCCTTGGGTAACCTCTAGTATACGGATTTGTAATACTATATTTTGTAAGGCAAATGCAATTTTCAATTTGTTATGAAGTTTTCCATTTATGCCATAGATAAAATACCTACTGAGTTAATTAAAAACACACATGAATAGAATTGGACCCACAAAAATGTATAAAAGGCAGCAAGTTATTTTCCTTTAGAAAACAAAAACACTATGCAGAAGCTCTTTAGTTTAATTAGATCCCATTTGTCAATTTTGTCTTTTGTTGCCATTGCTTTTGGTGTTTTAGACATGAAGTCCTTGCCCATGCCTATGTCCTGAATGGTAATGCCTAGGTTTTCTTCTAGGGTTTTTATGGTTTTAGGTCGAACGTTTAAGTCTTTAATCCATCTTGAATTGATTTTTGTATAAGGTGTAAGGAAGGGATCCAGTTTCAGCTTTCTACATATGGCTAGCCAGTTTTCCCAGCACCATTTATTAAATAGGGAATCCTTTCCCCATTGCTTGTTTTTGTCAGGTTTGTCAAAGATCAGATAGTTGTAGATATGCGGCGTTATTTCTGAGGGCTCTGTTCTGTTCCATTGATCTATATTTCTGTTTTGGTACCAGTACCATGCTGTTTTGGTTACTGTAGCCTTGTAGTATAGTTTGAAATCAGGTAGTGTGATGCCTCCAGCTTTGTTCTTTTGGCTTAGGATTGACTTGGCGATGCGGGCTCTTTTTTGGTTCCATATGAACTTTAAAGTAGTTTTTTCCAATTCTGTGAAGAAAGGCATTGGTAGCTTGATGGGGATGGCACTGAATCTGTAAATTACCTTGGGCAGTATGGCCATTTTCACGATATTGATTCTTCCTACCCATGAGCATGGAATGTTAATTTCCATTTGTTTGTATCCTCTTTTATTTCCTTGAGCAGTGGTTTGTAGTTCTCCTTGAAGAGGTCCTTCACATCCCTTGTAAGTTGGATTCCTAGGTATTTTCTTCTCTTTGAAGCAATTGTGAATGGGAGTTCACTCATGATTTGGCTCTCTGTTTGTCTGTTGTTGGTGTATAAGAAACTACCATCAGAGTGAACAGGCAACCTACAGAATGGGAGAAAATTTTCGCAACCTACTCATCTGACAAAGGGCTAATATCCAGAATCTACAATGAACTCAAACAAATTTACAAGCAAAAAACAAACAACCCCATCAAAAAGCGGGCGAAGGACATGAACAGACACTTCTCAAAAGAAGACATTTATGCAGCCAAAAAACACATGAAACAATGCTCATCATCACTGGCCATCAGAGAAATACAAATCAAAACCACAATGAGATACCATCTCACACCAGTTAGAATGGCGATCATTAAAAAGTCAGGAAACAACAGGTGCTGGAGAGGATGTGGAGAAATAGGAACACTTTTACACTGTTGGCGGGACTGTAAACTAGTTCAACCATTGTGGAAGTCAGTGTGGCGATTCCTCAGGGATCTAGAACTGGAAATACCATTTGACCCAGCCATCCCATTACTGGGTATATACCCAAAGGACTATAAATCGTGCTGCTATAAAGACACATGCACACGTATGTTTATTGCGGCATTATTCTCAATAGCAAAGACTTAGAACCAACCCAAATGTCCAACCATAATAGACTGGATTAAGAAAATGTGGCACATATACACCATGGAATACTATGCAGTCATAAACAATGATGAGTTCATGTCCTTTGTAGGGACATGGATGAAAGTGGAAATCATCATTCTCAGTAAACTATCTCAAGAACAAAAAACCAAACACCGCATATTCTCACTCACAGGTGGGAATTGAACAATGAGATCACATGGACACAGGAAGGGGAATATCACACTCCAGGGACAGTTGTGGGGTGTGGGGAGTGGGGAGGGATAGCATTGGGAGATATACCTAACGCTAGATGACGAGTTAGTGGGTGCAGTGCACCAGCATGGCACATGTATACGTATGTAACTAACCTGCCCAATGTGCACATGTACCCTAAAACTTCAAGTATAATAAAATAAAAAAAAAGAAAACAAAAACACATTTTTGCAATATAAAATTTCACTTAAATTCTCAAACCACTGGATATCTTGCCCAAGTAAAACAACTTTCTTTCCCTTGCCTCTTTTGCTAATACAGAGACATCTGAGCTGCTACTCAAAGCCTGTCTTTTAATATTTTAATCATAATTTTTAATTGTGATTTAATAAGCACATAGAATGATGCTTATTAAAATGTTTAAAGAAAAGGGCTCCTTTCTAAACAAAAAATTCAGCGTAGGTTTTAAAGAAAGTAAGTATTTTGACAGTTTATGTTCTTGTTGTTAAAGAATTACCGTAGTGTAAATATTTCCTTGCAGGTCGAGGTAATATATATCACCAATATTGTTCTTCTGAAGCTCTACAATGAGTTCACTCCCTTTGAAAGTTTTGCTGAACATAATATTTTATCAGCCTCTGTAAGAACAATGCAAAACCAGTCTGTTCATCTGGACCAATGCCAAGTATAAGCTATTTGAGCTAAGTGGATGTTTATAGTTATTCTTAAATTTACTTGTCAATAATTTGACCAAAGAGTAACGTTGATCATACCAACCAAGCAATGTAAAGCTGAACAAAAGAATGATCAAACCATTCTCACGCTGAAGATTCACTTTAGGATGGAGTAACAGACTCCATAAATACCCAATAAATTATTCCATTTCATTAGGGTATGGACTAACTCTTTAGGATATAGAAAGAATATATTAAAAACTAACTGGGCATTTGAAGACGGTCAGAGGATCTAAATTCCAGAAGCAAAGCAAAAGTAGAGGAAAAGTTTACTGAACTTTCAAGGTAAAATTATTCCTTAAAGATCTGGTTTTACTCACACGAGTTGAAAGATAATTGATTAAATTAATTTGACCAACTCCTACTCTAAGCAATTTAAGCACGACAAAATAGGCACTAATCAGAGGATACAGTATAGTTTTTGAGAGAATTAAATCTGTGACACATTACTCCTTGCATGATCACATGAGTATCAATTAGCAAATGACTATATTTACTGATATGCATTAAGGTAACTTTGTTTAGAATGAACTTCAGTTCTCCAAGTAAAACCATTAGCAATTTAAAAACACATATATTAACAGGCTAAAAAGCAAGGACCTTACTGATAAGGTCGAATGCTACAAAAGTGATACACGTTTTAATAGGTAAACTGTTCTTTGCTTCACAATCATTTCAGTTGCCTTACGTTGTTTAAATAATTCTGTACAATAGCACTTTCTGTGACAATGTGAAGGCTTATATTATCTAATGCAGTATACACTGGCCATAGAGATTTCCTGAGCATAGGAATGAATATATAATTTTAAATTTTTACTTAAGGTTAATTAATTTAAAGTGGAATACCCACATGTGACAAATAGCCATAGTATTTCAAAGCACAGGAATAATTAGAGCAATTCAGTTCTGCAAAAGTATCCTATAAAAATTATTCTAATTTCCATATTTAATTATAAAAGGATATATATATATAATCTACATTGTAGCGCTCAAAATATTTTCTTATATTTAGACTTTTCTCTTTTATTGTCATCGAGCTTTAAAACTTCAAGAACCTTGAATAAATAATACAAAAATCATCTACCATCATCAAAGATGTATCGTGATATATGAGCATAAAACCTAGAATTAAAAAAATCATGATGCAAATCCCAGTCAAACAAAGTTTCAAGTAATACTTCAAGAAAAAAAAAAAAAACAGCACAGAGCTTCTTGAATTAGAAAAAGCAAAATGTGAGAAGTATAAATCTTATATATTTAAGCACTCACTACATCACAACTAAGAAAACAAAACCAAAATTGAGAAATCCCTTATTACCTTGATTTACGCGAACACTTGCCTGCATTTGTATTTTGTACACAAACTTCTCTTTTCTTAAATTTTAAACTATGCATTTCCTGAACAATAAGATTATTTTGGAATTGTTTCATGAATTTTTTCTGCATTAGTTTTTGTTTCCACTATTTTGTGTTTAATGGAAGTTAAGATATTAAACACTACAAACTAAAAATAAAGCAATTCAAAACTATTTTTCAACAAATCGTAAGTGTAAATAAAAGTATAGTAGTTTATGAGAGGTTAAAAATGAAGCAGGACACAGTAATATGTTTTAAGTCTATGAAAAGATTTAAAAATCAGAAAAGGCCTCATGCCTGTAATCCCAGCACTTTGGGAGGCTGATTCAGGCGGATCACTTGAGGCCAGGAGTTTGAAACCAGCCTGGCCAACATGATGAAACCCCATCTCTACCAAAAATACAAAAATTAGCCAGGCGTGGAGGCACGTGCCTGAAATCCCAGCTACTCAGGAGGCTGAGGCAGGAGAATCACTTGAACCCAGGAGGCGGATGTTGCAGTGAGCCACGATGATGCCACTGCACTCCAGTCTGAATGAGAAAATGAGATTCTGTCTCAAAAAATACGTATATAACTAAATAAAATAAATGAATAAATACATAAATAAAAATCAGCAAAGAAGAGGCAGAGCAAAATGGCCAAATAAGACCCTCCAGTGATCATCTACCCACAGAAACATCAAATTTAGCAACTATTCAAGTGCCAAGGTACCCTCACAAGAGCTTAAAATACCAGGTGAGAGGTCAAAGTACCTGATTTTAGCATAAAAACAAAAAAAGATGCAATGAAGAGGGCAAGAAGGACAGAGTCACACTGCCATCTTCACCCCTCTCCCAACTCCAAGAAGCACAACTCAGAGACAGACAAAACTCTCAGGAAGCGAGAGGGAAGTAATTGCAGGACTTTGGCGTGGAGTCCCGTGCCAGGCCTACCAGGGTGAAACCCAGCATGAAGCCCAGTATTGGGCAGAATCCCACAACCTCTGGCTCCAGGCCACGGCCCACAGACAGATAGAGCCACCTGGACTTGCCTCAGCTCTAAAAGGCAACCTACAGCCCCAGCAGTATGGTCTCATGTTCCAGCCAGCACTACCCAGTGGTTTACAGCAGCCTCAGACCACAGGCGAACCTCAGTGACAAGGAGGCCATAGCTGCCCTGGTCCCAGTGACCATGGACTTCAAATATGACCTAGCATTGCAGTAGCCATGGTGACTGTGGGAATGGCTACTTAATCCATCCCTCAATTTTAGGCAGCACAGCATGCACAGGGATGCTGTGTGTTTAAGGAAAGGAGAAGGAGGTTGAAAGAAAACATAGCCTTGGAGACCAGCATCGGGTCCTTCACAATGAGACAGAGTAGAGTGGAGCTCTGCAGTGCCTCACTCTAGGCTGGTTACTGTGGATGGAGCATCTGGATCTTCCTCAGCCTCAGACAGAAATCCATGGACCCACATGCCAGATTTCCCTTCCTTCAGGAACAAAACATCCGCAGTAGACCTGCGGCAAACCTCAGCTTAGGCTGCCATCTAGTGCTGAACATGGGGCAACACAACACCTGCAGACTAGTAACAAAAATGGGCTTAGAGCATTATCTGGCGATGATACAGAGGCAGTGACCACCGGCTGAAAGAAAATAATCAGTCTGCTTAGAAATCTCGTGAAGAACAAGCACTAAAACCCCAGATGGTTGCCGGGAGCGGAGTCTCACGCCTGTAATCCCAGCACTTTGGGAGTCCGAGGCGGGCGGATCACGAGGTCAGGAGACCAAGACCATCCTGGCTAACACGGTGAAACCCCGTCTCTACTAAAAATATTTAAAAAATTAGCCGGGCGTGGTGGCGGGCGCCTGTAGTCCCAGCTACTCGGGAGGCTGAGGCAGGAGAATGGCGTGAACCCGGGAGGCGGAGCTTGCAGTGAGCCGAGATGGCGCCACTGCACTCCGGCCTGGGTGACAGAGCGAGACTCTGTCTCAAAAACAAACAAACAAACAAAAACACAAAAAAACAAAAAAACACGCCAGATGGCAAACACTAAATTCCTAATTTTTCAGTATGCAGGTGTCATTGCATATCCACAAACATCAAGAATATTTAGGATACCGTGACCTCACCAAACAGACAAAATAAGGCACCAGAGACCAACCCTAAAGTGATGGAGATGTGTGATCTCTTAGAGATTTCAAAATAGCTTTAAAACCCTTTTCCCATTTGTCCTGAGAATACCAGTCATTGGCACTCAAGGCGGCAGTGTTTACCCTGAGATAACTTTGCCGAGAAATACATCAGTTTTATTATTATTTTTATATCGCTCTAGTATATTGACTTTGGAAACAAAAGACGTCATTTTCTTTATAGCATTCTGATTTTAGTAGTTCCATTTCCATTTACAAAATATAGAAATTCTTGATCATTGAAAATGTCAAATCCTGGAAAACGCTGGATCTCTATGTGTGATGCTAACATCATTCTTGAATATTTGTTGGCCAAAGATTTATTTGACGAATCTGCTTTTTTCAAAATAGACAATTCAGATGTTAGCTCTGTTTAGAAACAGCTACAAGAACAGATTTTATATTTTATTTTCATATCGCAAATCAGTAAGATTTGCTTTGATCTCAAAGAATGTGCTCATGTAAAATTAAATACTCATTTAATAAGGATGCAAACTGCACCCTTTGTTTCCCTAAACAGTAAAAAGGTTAAGCAAACTCAACATGGTCCAAGAAAATGTAGAGAGACAATTCAGCAATTTATTTAAAAAGAAAAAAAAAACTTAACAGAGAGAATGAAATAAATTAAAAAAAAATCACACAGAAATCCTAGACTTGAAAATTACAATAAGCCAAACGAAAAATACAGTAAAGAGCATCAATAGCAGAACTGATCAAGCAGAAGAAATAACTAGTGAAGTCAGGGAGAGGAGATTTGAAAACACACAGTCAGAAAAAAAGAATGAAAAGGAACAAAGAAAGTCTAGAGGAATTATGGGAGAACATCAAAAGAGCAACTGTTTAAGTTATTAGTGTTCAAGAGGCTCTTAAGCATGCCAAGAGGTAGAAGACATATTCAAAGAGATAATAACAGAAAACTCCCCAAACCTAAGGAAACATATGATTATCCGAGGACATAAAGATCAAAGATGACCAAACAGACTCAATCCCAATAAGTCTGTCTTAAGAGATATCATAATCAAACTCTCAAAGTCTGGAAGATTACCGATTCATATAAATTGAACCAAAATGTAATGATCCATTACTATGGGGCAGGGATGAAGCAATACAAATATAACAGGCATGTTCCTTTTCATTCAGGGTCTTCCATTTTTGTGGGTGAGACATTAATGAAATACATTGGAATCAATATGATGATAATATGTTTCACACACTTCCACAGAAGCACCAAGATAACTCACCTAATATGAACAGGCATATTAAAAAGTGTTTTTCTCAAGACATGATATTTGCACTGATTAAAAAAATACTGTGTAGGAATTAGCCAGGTAGGGACCCAAGAAGAAATGCAGGACATGTCTGCACTAGGAACAGATTAAATGGAGAGAGAAGGAAAGGGACAAAATAGGGAACTGAAATCAGTTTATTTCTAGACAACATGTCACATAAGATCACGATGTGAAAATGTAGTGAAGAGTGAAGAAATCGTTAGGGACCTGATGGGTCATTGTGAGGGTTTTTATCTTATCCTAAGCAAAGATAAGGAGTCACTGAGACACTTCCAGTTGTCTATGATCAAAGCAACTAAGAGCAAAATCCACAATGCCTAAGTAGATGAGGTAAAAACGAAGTAAATTATGATGAAACTTCAGAAACACAGATCCGACATAAACTGGTAATCACAAAGAGAACACTGGAATCCAAGTCATTATAACCACAAAATGGAGTAGAGGAACTATTGCAAGACAAAATATGAAGAGCTAGAATGAATTTCTTTTACTAGCTAAATGACTTCTGTGAAGGAACTAGGACAAAAGTGGAATTTAAGTTAGTTCTAAAAGATTAAAGGCTCATAAATCATATCATCTTATGTTTTTACAGGGTTTCACTTTGTCTTATAATATTTTTGTTTTCTTATTTAATTTGGAATATAATGAGTGTGGTAGATAATAGTCCTTTTATCTTTTCCCACTTTCCAGATAAGAGTTATTATTATTATTTTCTTTTTTAGTACATTATGGATTAAGTAATATCCTTGACAATATGCATACTGGGGTATGTATATCCATCAAGTGACAGTTTTAATACTGAACAAGTATTATATGTCATAAGATGATAAAAGAGCTCAAAATGAATCTAAGATCAATGAGCAAAATAACCCCACGGGAGGAAAAAAGCATGGAAACATAAGTAGCGTTATCATTTAAATTTTATTTATCTAATCAGCCTACTAGTGCCACTGCTGTGTATTGTAAGATGTGGTTTGCTATAAGATTTTGATAAGAGAAATAGTGAACTGGACATTAATGGTGTTACATGGAGCGTTTAGGCTATAGACATCATTTTTATTGTTTATTGTTTAGTGCTTGTCCATTCTGGTATCGCCTAGTCTCATGATGCTATTATGCATAATATTCTTAATTCCTCAACATTCACTGCTACGATATTTTTGTTGTCACTGTTTTACTCCTGATGCTTCAGAGAGTTTTTGATGATTGATGAGCAGCAGTGGGATTGTGAATATGATACATTTGTAAAATCTCTTTGGGATCTTGGTCCACTCATCTGTATGTAGTGTGAGGAGTTTGGGCTCATTGATCTAAAATGCTTTCATTTTAATTGCTGCATATATTTAAGAATCTTTCAGAGCCTTTATCTATTCATTCTGTGTTTATCTCATATTCTTTGCTCAAGGTATATATTCTTAAGATGTAAAAAAGTCATTCTATTTTTACATTTAGGTTCTTTCTGCATTTCTCTTACATCAGTTGCTAGAAAAAATCAAATTTAGTCTATTCAAAATTGGTCAATTATAGCATTTCAAAAGAATTATCATGTACTTATATATTTATATAAAATAAAGTTATAGCCTAATTTACTTTTTCTTCAAAGTTTTGGGAAATTATGTTTACTGTTTATATTTCTGCAAATTTGCTGTTTCAGTGATAATATATATTGTATCTTTGAATAGTTTAATGATAAAATATAGTGAGAAAAACAGAAACAACGGAAGCAAAATACTGGGAATACGGTAGACTATATATAGAAATTATATATAAATATATATATGTATAGAAATTATATACAATTTCTGTTTGTATTGTCTTCCCTACTCCCAGGATACATATACATATATATATTTGTTATAGTTAAAAGCAAATCAATGATAACATTTATATTTAAAAATATATATGTGTATATATATATATTCTCTGCAGTGTCTTTAACATTGCTTCATACCATTTTTGCCTCTGACTTTCCAATTTCAAGTAAAAATCTGTCTCACTGGCATTCAAATAGTTAATACTTGCATATTTGCTATAACACAATTGGAAGTTAATTACTCATTGACAAGTCACAGACAGTTTTTCATAAAGCACTGGTGGTCTGCGTATCGAAATTAGGGGATAGTATTTAAACAAGTATTGGTTATACTTTACATGTAGAACCCATACATTTTATCTTTGGCTTGCTTTTAATTATAACAAAAATAAATATATTTTTCTACTTGGTGGCATATATATGTGTTATTAGAACATGAGAAAATTATAAAAACAAAGATTATTAAATTAATATTATATGTACATTTGCATTCATTACTTTTGTATTGCTCATTTAAAAAATCTAGTTACATATTTAGTCTGGAATATAAAACATCCTCATCTGAATTCTTGAAGTATGTTAAAAACGTATTAGAATGTATCTTGACTATAACTTAAAGAGAAAACTTTAAATAAAATAATTGAAATATAATACATATTTTTATTTCAAATTATTAAGTATATATCTTAAGTGCCATTACAGGCTAGCAGAATTTATTACCTGTAAATAGAAAATAGAAGAGTAAAACAAAAAAGAATATATAAAACAATAATAATCACAAAATCCAATTCTATATCATTAAACACAATTATAAGTGTTTCACTCTTGTATATTCTCTATGATATAGTCATAAATTTTTTTATTTGTTTTCATAAATTTGGGAATTAGTCTGCATTAGAGAGCAGCTTAAGGTTTTATCATAGCATTATATTGTAAGCACTTTCACACCTCAAATATTTGAGATTATTACTTTAATGGCTCAAATTTATTTTGTAACAATATGTTAATTCATTAAATAATTCAACTGTTCTTAAATATTAAGAAATGTCCACTTTTTATATTAGAAGCAGTGCTAATATAAACATTCTCGTGCTGTAATCACTGTGTAGATCTCTAATTCCTTAGCATAAATTTCCAGAGACAGGATCATATCCATTTACTTGCCTTCATACTATTTTTAATTATTTCAAAACGAGGCACTGCATCAGAAATATATGCAGCCCTCTGAAGACAATACTGAGCTGCTGTATATTTGCATAACTCACAAGGTGACCATGATGCACACTCCTTGGTATACTGCACATTCAGCTTTCAACTTTCAAGTGATTTATGTGACCCAGATTGCCTTTGGGTCATTGATCTCCATGTCAGATAAATTTCTGATGATAGTGTGGAGAGTTCTTTAAGTCAAAAATTCTGGAGGACAAAATGCTATGACATGATGCTGTCAACTTCACCATCCCCAGTGAGTGTACAAATGAGATATGAAGAAGATGTCAACTGATTGGGGACACTGCTGTGGGGTCAGCCCAGGTTTGACTGGGTCAACAGTCTGCATACGTTTTTGCTTGATATCCTTTCAATAATTTTGAGAAAGAATGTGTGCTGTCATGTATGTTTATTTGTTATGTAAATATGTATTTATAATTTAACAAGTCTTTGTTAACAAAGGGAGAAAAATTTTAAACACCATATAAGGTAAAATAAGGATTGGCTATAAGTGGAATAAATATTTGATGACACAATTTCATGGAACACCTTAACTTCTTATTAAAATAAAAATCAAGTCCAGGTGTGGTGGTTCACGCCTATAATCCCGGCACTTTGGGAGGCCGAGGCAAGTGGAACCCCTGAGGTCAGGAGTTCAAGACCAGCCTGGCCAACATGGTGAAACCCTGTGTTCTATGAATAATAAAAAATTAGCTGGTTGTGGTGACCCATGTCTGTAATCCCAGCTACTAGGGAGGCTGAGGCAGGAGAATCACTAGAACCTGGGAGGCGGAGGTTGCAGTGAGCCGAGATCATGCCACTGCACTCCTGCCTGGGTAACAGAGTAAAACTCCGTCTCAAAAAAAAAATTAATTAAAAAATTAAATCTAAACGATATGTACAAATTTTACACTTAAGGTTTTTTCAGCGTATTTTGAGAAATGTGATAGTCCTGAGAAATATCCCAGTTACATTTTAAAATGAACCGATACGGCTTCAGTTTTTCTAAATCTAAATCAACATGGCCCAAGCTTCAGGCTAAACAGAAATAAGTATAAAACAATATTTCCAATTATCCCTTTACTTATTCCCTGAAGGGATTTAATATATCTGGGAGCTATAACAGCTAAGATTGGGTTGTGTGAAGCCTATACCTTTCTTCCTTAAAATGGGAAAAATGTGAATGTATGCAATACCACACTTTCATAAGAAATGATGTATAGGAATAGTGCCGCAATAAACACTATTTCTATACATCATTTCTTATGAAACTGCGGTATAGTATACATTCACATTTACAATAGCAAAGACTTGGAACCAACCCAAATGTCCAACAATGATATAGACTGGATTAAGAAAATGTGGCACATATACACCATGGAATACTATGCAGCCATAAAAATGATGAGCTCATGTACTTTGTAGGGACATGGATGAAGCTGGAAACCATCATTCTCTGCAAACTATCCCAAGGACAAAAAACCAAACACCACATGTTCTCACTCACAGGTGGGAATTGAACAGTGAGAACGCAAGGACACAGGAAGGGGAACATCACACCCTGGGGCCTGTTGTGAGGTGGGCGGAGCGGGGAGGGATAGCATTAGGAGATATACCTAATGTTAAATGATGAGTTAATGGGTGCCGCACACCAATATGGCACATGTATACATATGTAACTAACCTGCACGTTGTGCACATGTACCGTAAAACTTAAAGTATAATTAAAAAAAAAAAGGAAATGATGTATAGGAGTTGACTATCTAATAAAGGAAATCTTAAAAAGATCTGTGAATCGTGTTCTTTAGAAATTTCTTTACATTATTACTATTATCTATAATTCAGCCTAAAAACTTTAGATGAGAATCATTTTGTTTTTGATTGATTCATATGAATTGTTAAATGTGAGCTTTAATATATAATAGTAGAGTTATCTCCATGAAGACTTGTAGATAGTTTCATACCCAGCAATATCAAGAACAAATAAAATATTCTGAAGGAGATGTCTCATTTGACCAACAGGAGATATTTAGGAATGCTGCTTCACTGGAGGTGGGTTCTGGAATTACAATTTTGACTTAGGTATTGGAACAAACCTGAGTTTCCTGTTCCTTTTACAAGACAGCTTTTCCTCTAACTTCCTATATGCTTGTCCAATATATAGAAAGATTTTTTTCCTGGTTTTCTGCTGGAGATGAAACACACAGATCAACCTCCTTGACTGGGGTTTTTATATCCTGACTTGCTCTGCAAACCCTCTACTTCCTTGTCCGCTTCTAAAACCTCAGCTGTCCAAGTGAAGATCCTGATTCATATCTACTGTAAGGCATTTTTGCTTTGTAGAAACAACTGAACAATTGCTGTTAAAAGCCTCGATCTCAGCTTTACATCTCTCTTTATAAATCTTACCATGGAAAGCCAAAGTTAAACTTTTCCATGTACATTTTTCGTAAATATGGTGATGACCTAATTCCCATGGGCCATTGGACAAATTTTCATATATTGCATGCTTTCATTCACTTACCAATGCCCTAAGTAATTTTATTTTTAAGATGGAGTCTCATTCTGTTGCCCATGCTGGAGTTCAGTGGCACAATCTTGGCTCACTGCAAACTCTGCCTCCCAGGTTCAAGCGATTCTCCTGCCTCAGCCTCCTGAGTAGCTGGGACTACAGGTGCCTGCCACCATGCCCAGCTAATTTCTGTATTTTTTGTAGAGACAGTGTTTTACCATGTTACCCAGGCTGGTCTCTAACTCCTGACCCCAAGGAATCTTCCCACCTTGGCCTCCCGAAGTGCTGGGATTACAGGCGTAAGCCACTGCACCCGACCCTTAAATGAAATTTTGATAGCTGAGTTATATAAATTCCATACAGGGTGACTATATGACGGACTTTTCCTGAGACAGTCTCACATTGCACTATTGTCCTGAATAACCACCAGTGTTCTGGTAAAAGTGTGGCTGGCTCTTCAGAAGTAAAAGTCCTGACTGGTAGCACTTGGAAATTTTTGTGGGGTGAATGACTTAATGTTGGCTGATTTCAAGCTATTAATATGACATGACTGAACTTGGAGTTGTCAGTGAAAGCACAAATTAATTCCTTGCAAGCCTCCAGGAAGAGGCTGTTGCTAACTGCTGTATGGTACCTCCTTTCAAACTTAAACGTGTCCTGGTGTGTAGAATAAATTATGTTCATCATAATTTTAAGCCATTGACTCTTTCTGAGGTTAGTAGGGAATGACTCTAAGTTTACTTGAAAATATTGTTCTGAATTCATAATATTGGTGAACAGCTTGTTATAACCTCAGTTTTGACTGTGTCAGGTTGAAAAACTAAAATATCAATTAAATTTTACATTTGAATTGTTATATCTTGAACTGTAACTGTAGGGTACTATGTAAAAATTTTTATATTAGAAATGACTTGGGTTAACTCTTAGATGGAGATGATAAAAAACTATTTTCAGTTTCTATGTAAACTCAAATATATGAGTGTGAATGTCGAATTAGAAATAAACAAAGTTACATTTAAGTAAAACAAATTAAGTGAAATTTCTTAATAACAACTAAGAAATTGTATACAAAATTTTGTATACAATTTCTTAATTTTTCTGGTGAAATATTTTGATCACCTAAGTGTCATCATGAAGAGCTTTTCCTCAGTGGCAATAATTCATTAAGGCCTTTATTTTAAATGAGTACAAAAATATTGATAAAAAGAATAATTAAAATTAAAATAATATAAAATGTACTTTTGCATATGTTAGCCTCTTTATAGCTTAGTCCTAGGCTCAGTGCTGCCATTTTAATTACAAGAAATTTCACTGCACTTTGAAAATGACCTAATATTTCCTTCCTTTATCATCCAGCAAAATGTGTCTAGTTTTGAAATGTGAGCACAAAGCTCTCTCTTTCTGAAATGACTGTTATATGGCACACATTTCTCCCACACAAATATCCCTCAGATGGACAAACAATTCAACTCCTCACACTCTCCCTAAACTTGCAAATGAAGTAGTGCTCATCCGATCTTCTGATGGATTTCCCAATCCTCACAGAGACATTTAAATTTAGGTTTTTATTATTATTAAGCAAAATGTTTAACTACACTACATACTACTTTAAAGTTTTATACATTTTTGCATATTGTGTTTTAAACCTTTAACAAGAAAATCCAAAGGTCTGGGATAACATACATTTAAACTACTGCTATGATGTGTTGGGTAAACTCTTTCAATATCCAACCTTAACCAAGAAAAGAAACACAGGCAATATCCAATGCAGCCTAGATACTAAGTGTAAAAACTAATGAGCATCGTAATAGCCTCTCGAGAGATGCACAACAAAATATTTTATATTTTATCTCAGCTCAAAATCATAGAGACTTCATCACCCTAGTATCTTAGAAGTCTGAAAGAGGTAAAAAATGTTTACGTTGTTTTACAAGAAAAACTGAACTATTTTTAGCAAACATACCTACAAATTTCCAAAAAGCAAACATTCAGACAAATGGTCTCCTTCCCTCCTGCTGGTATTTGTTAGAAATAGGCTTCAGTGTAAAATTCCTCAGGGTATTGTTTTTTTTCAAATCCCCTGTTACATGTATTCTAATATTTTACTATTCACTTGTTTTCTTGAAGTTTCATTTGCATATGTTAAACTAGAGTTTTGAGTACACTATTTCTTATGCTATTGTTGTTTTTGCTTTTTCAAACGGTAATGAAGTAAATTGTATTGCAAATATCTGACAGAAGAAAATAAAGCATTGAACTTAACAGAAGGCATATTCTGACCTCTTTTGTGGAGTTCACTGGAAATTTCAAGTGAATCCAACATCTGACAATCTTTTAGCACTGTTAAGGTTTATTATTAACGCTGCACTTATTAAGGAGACAGTTGGTCCATAAATATTTCACCTTACTAAGCTGTGTACAAGTCGTTGGTTTTAAACTCAGATAGGGTTTAACAAGAAACATTTGACAAATCCAAATAGCACTTGATTTCAGAACACAAGTTTAGGTTATAAAGAATGAAAACCTCTGTGTGCTAACACTATATTTTTCTAGTGCTATAAGGATTTAATACAGTCTTCACTTAGTTTCCTAACCATGTTATTGTATATAACAATCTCCTTCAAAACTTAGTCCAGATACGAGCTTATGGTAAGTGACGTTCATTTGGAGGCTCCCTAAACATTTATTTAGACAACCTCAAATGTGCCCTTTCTTCATACATTTTTTTCCACATATAATTTTTTTCACAAAAAAATTATACTGCTTATAATTTTATATTCATGCTTCTCAGGCATTGAAATAAGAAACACTATTATCAAAATTATTAAAATCATAATATAGGTCTCATAATAATAATAGTGATAATTATGATTATAATACTCTAGTCTAGGCATTACATAAAGTAAAAATTGTGACCCTACATTCATTTGTTCCATAGAGTTTTGGCAAACTCACTTCCTATCTTAGGTTTGGTCGTTCATGATCTTTTAAACAAGTGAAATATACCCAAGAAATATTATTCATTCGATATTCAGAATTTTAGAATTTAATATCAGACATCAGGGATCAGTGAGTTGAATCTTTAATGTACATGTAGGAATACAGAACACAAGGTGCTGAAAACATGTGTCCATAGTTATGCTGGTCAGAGCCGAAAGCCAGGTCTCTCGACTCAGTCAAATTTAGGTTAAGTAACCAACATCAAACTGCAAGTTTTCTAATCAGTATGGAAACGAAATGTAAACCCATAAGCCTAAATGAGACTGCAAGTTGGAATTCCTCCATTGCCTACTCTCTCAGTAGGATGACTTCTTCCCTATCCCTTTTGATAAAACCTGATCAAAACCCAATGAGTTTTCAGCATATTTTCAGAAAATGGAAAGTTCTCTTTGTAATAATTCACGTATTTAATCTACTGTACAATCTAAAGGCTTCGAACAGCCCCTCCTTTCCCTTGGCTGGGGCCTGCTGACATTAGCTGTCTTCATGTGTCAAAGGGAGGCATATTCCCTTTCTCTGTTTGATCACTCAGCACTTCTACTCTTCCTTTTCCTTCTCTGCCATGTCAGATGTGTCAGGGTTTAGGGGAAACATAAAAGGAAAGGGAGTATTCTTACCCCAGGAATACTGTCCTGAGCTAGTGTTAGCACTGCACCAGCTTACGGACACTGATAGGCAACTCTGTTTCTTCTTTCCTGGAATGCTTCTTCCCTTGATTCAGTGAAGACAACAGCCAACTGCTGGAGATCCCTACCGTGCAGGATCTTTTGTGCAATGGAATCCTTCTACTGCTGCTGGTGGCTGAAGGCTGGTTTCATGCCCCTGGGAATCCAAGGATCCACCCCTGTAGGAGTTACTTTACCCCTAATGGCAGCCCACTTAAATGGAAGACAGATCCAGGGTAAACATAGTATCCTTTGTCTGCTAAACTCTTTGAGGAAAGCCAGACCAATGTGTCAAAACCTTTTAAATCTCTCAGGCTGAGTCAAAAACTGTTCACAGTGTCTCCCAAGTCCTAGGGGACATATATCACCTTCTCCAGATAAAGCCATGATGCTTCTCCGCCTGTGCTAGAGGTGGACCTGCTTCTTCCTTGGGGGAGAGCAGGGGACACATATGTGAAATGATCGCTCTAAACATTCTCTAAAATTCCTTTACATGTGTATCCTTAGTCTGGGTGGGCATTGAAAGTAGTAGAAATTATTTTGTCATGCTTCTTTTGCAAGTCCTGTATGGCAGTTTCACATCTTACTTTGGAATGTGGTGTGTATTTACTTGAGCCTCAACTGAAACTGATTAAATGATTCCATTGAATCATCACGTCACAGCTTCTTAGGGATCTTATAGCATTCATTTTTGCATTCTCATTGCTTAGCATGGTGACTGAAACAGAGCAGACATTCGATATCAGGGTTTCATTGCATGACTGAAGCGATTGTTAATTTATGTCCCGTGCCATGTGCTCTGCAAAGAAAAATGTAAGTGGCTCTTGATATATTTCTCTCCCATGGCTTCAACAACAAATAGTACCTCAACTGTTAATAATTCTACATCTTTTTTATCACTGGACTCTGCTCTCTCCATGTTTCCTATATCCACTGGCTTGTTTCAGGTGCTCACTTCTCACTTGGACTGTTCTAAAAAATCCTGAACTATTTCCTTATTATAATCTCTTTTCTTTCCAATTTGTATTTTATACTGTCTCTGGGGCTATTATTCTAAAAATTCAAATTTGATGATTTAATTCTACGCCACCACTCTGCCTTCTGTTTAACTGGGGCAGGAAAATAGGGTCTGGAGGCAGGAAACAGAAGGCCAATTCCCACTTCAGCTATTACAGGAAATATCCTCTCCATAGGGTGGACACCGAGTAAATAACTTTGAAAGTTTACTTCATCTTCTTCATTTATATAGGGTGTACACCAAGTAACCAATGGAAACCCCTAGAGAATATTTAAACCCCCACAAATTATGTAACGGGGCCTTTTGGCCCCTATGCTCAGACCTGCTCCCACACTGTGGAGTGTACTTTCATTTTCAATAAATCTCTTCATTCCTTCCTCACTTTGTTTGTGCTATTTGTCCAATTCTTTGTTCAAGATGCCAAGAACCTGGACATCCTCCACTAATAACATAACTATTTCTGGTTTCCTCTCACATATTAAATAGAGTCTAAATTTCCCAGAATGACACAACTGACTTTTTCAATATGACATGTGCCAATGTCCCCATTACTGTCTTCTATCTTTTTTCACTTTTATCCTCGTAAAGTTCAAAATGTTCAACCATGAAGAGATTGCTAATTGGGTCATGTTCCTTCATAAGTTTCAGCTTTTGCAATCCTGTCCCCTTTACATAGTATGCCTTCCTCTTTATCTGGTGAACTTCAAATGCCAGTTCAAATTATATTTTTACAACTCTACTCAGAAATAGTCACTTCCTCATTTCTGCTATTTCTAGACCAAAAGTGCTCCTAACACATGTATCATTCTGTATTATTTGTTTATGTATCTGTCTTTTCAACTTGACTGAAGGGTAACCTTTTTATTGTAATCAATTAATACATGGATAATTGCAAAGTCAATGAAGTAAAAGTTATTAAATTGCTAGTAAGATAGTGGTAAGAAAAAAGCAACACAAGTATTGGGATACAGAGAATGATACCCTGAAGTATGGTGTTCTGGCATGCTGAGCACCTTGAATTAAAGTAAATTGGCAAGACATAGAAGCTGCCTAACTTCCTAATCTTCTCTTGTTTCTTCACCCACTCACAACCCCAAGTGAGGGGAGGAATGTTCTCTGGAATCTCCTTATCTGAGGAAGGAAACTTCTTTCCCAAAGAAAGGTAATTGTCTTAAAATCCCCCCTTTAGGAATGTAAGCAAATAACCAGGAAAGATTAACCACCAGAGAGAGAGAAAAAGAAAAAAGAAAAAGAGACAGAGAGAGAGACAGACAAAAGAAGTCATCGCCATGCCCAGACAGAATTTTTATCTACTCTTCTGAGGGCAGCACGAAGAGATTACCTATGGGAATTCATCTGCCTAATAAGACTACCTTTGTTCACAGTGCAGTTCCAACACTCACCTTTCCATAACTTTTCACTCCCATCGAGTTTCCCAAAATAATCATTTACAAACTATTGTCTGGTTTGGCTAGCTCATTCATTCTCCCTAAAAATTACTTATTACCCTCATAAAATTGCCTACAGTCCCACATATCGCCCCTCCTCCGTAAGGTATTTAAGCTTCAGCCATCTGGCCCCTCTTTGAGTGTCACATTTGTGAGACCTCTATGACCACGTGCACATAAATAAATTTGTGTACCTTTTTCTCCTATATGTCTGTATATTATATAACATTTGTTATTTTCATTTATTTTAAAACCGTGTATAGTCACAACATCCATGTGTTCTGCTTCTCCTTACTGAGCCATCCAAATAATTTAGTCAAATTACAACAAGCAAAGTGACCTCAATGGAAAAAGTATGCAGAGAAGCCATGTTGTGAGATGATGAGTTTTTAGGATTATCCTGCCCAACTACTCAAAGTTATAGCGAAACTCATTTCACGTTGAAAAATAGTATTAAAAGAAGATAAAATATTGTGAAATATAACAGATCTCATAGGCTTATATATTCTCTATATTGCTATTTACCTAGCTGTATATATTCTGCCAATGAAATTGCCATTGATTTGATATAATCTTTCTAGTATCTAACTGAATATGCTTCTAAGTATCATACCAAACACTTAGGTTAATAATGGTAGCAGCACTTCATTAAGACCTCATAAAAAGAGGCTGGTATTCTTCTATGATCTACCTCTATATTGGACTTTGTGTTTGTGATATACTCAAAACACGCACAGAAACATGAGAAATATGTTTAATAATCTACAAGGTAGTTTTAAATGGTCAGCCCACAAAATGCATGGGAATTGCTTTTATAAATGCCTACAAGGCCATGTATCTCTCTGAATAAATTTATGTGTTAAAGAAATGGCTCTGGTTCCTGGTCTAGGAATTTAATGGGAAAACTTCCCTGCAAAATAAAATAATGTGATAGGAAGATATTGTGCCACTTCTCTTACTATATAATTTAATCTTAATTACCATCTTAGGTTGAATTCCCTAGAAATCAGAGCCGGAGATAAAAGCTATGTGCCAGCACTTTATTAAGAAGCTCAATAGGTCCCTGAGGAGCAAGGGGGGAAAGGGGAAAAGTAGAGTTTACTTTTGGTTTTCTTTGAGAATTTAGATTAAAAAAATTCATAAAACATAGCATTTACAAACTTTGCCAAATATTAAGTGATTTATTGTTCATATATATGCTGCATTAAAACAATGCAACTACAGATAGCAATAGCCAGCTATTTAAAAGCTAAAATATACTGCATTTCAGGTTATCACAAAAATGGGACATTTTGAACTCTTTAGAGGACACTACCTTTTTTTCCCTAGATTACACATTTTTTTTCAACTTCTAATAAAGATAACCAGCATTCAGTGGCGGGAATTTGGATTGGATGACTCCATAAATATCTACTATCTCTTCACAACAAAAATAATTTGTGAATATGCTTTATTAATGACAACAAAAAAGTGAAGATGCACCAAGAATCCATGACTGTAACATATGTTAACATACCACAGTGATGGATATAGCTTCTTTGACTGCACAGCTTCGGGCAGGTTAAAGTCATGTGTATTATCTCAAATAGACTACACATGAAAGCAAATTCCAGCCTCTAAAAAGTAGATTCACAGCCTCATTAACAACCATTTAGATATTTAATAACTGAATTTTCAGAAAATACTCTTATTTATAATCTGGATCCTCATGCTTCATGCTCCATTTTTTTTTTCTAATTTAGTCCTTAGAGAAAACTAACAACTAGTCCCTGTGAAAAGTCATCCTCTGACTTATTTGTTCACTAATATTTTGATCTTGGCCTAGATGTGACAAGTCCAAACAGAAAACTTACTCAGCTTAGGGGCTTTGCTAGATTCATTTTCATTTTGCCACCATCTTTTTGAATGGTAGGAGTCAAATATAGATTTCTGAGTCATACAATGTGGGATTTTGTTCAAATGGGATTAAGTTTGAATTAGGAGGAAAAATAATGAAATATACTTTTACAGTATAAGCAGAAAACTGTATACAGAATCTTCCATCACTGTCAATTATAATGACATAATAGTATGGATGATAATAGGATTGTTCTATTTTGAATCCGTATATATATAAATAGTCTGTGTATTCTGACATGACAGAGGAGAAAAATATGATATTCACTATCTCACATGTTCAAATACAGGTAGTAATATAAATTTAGTTAATGTCATATATATAACAGCAGAGTAAGAGAGAATCAGAATGATTAAGTGTTTATAACCTCAAGGTAGGCTTTTATTCCTTTATCTAATACTCCTAAATTCTACCTTTTAAAAGGAAGAAATATTGCTATTAATAAATTTTTAAGGGACTGGGCTAAATATAATTTTATAATTAATCTTATATCCATATGAAATATGACTCAAAGAAGATATTACTTTGACTTTGTTTTAGTGGTATTGTTTCTAAGCCCTTAAATCGGAAATCTCTGAGGATGTGTTAATGGCACTTAGATTTTTTATACTAGCTTTCTAAATATTAAGAAATGGCAGTACAATCATTACTATTACTATTGCTTATCTTGTGGTGAGAAAAATAATTTTTGGAAAATTGACTTTGGACATCTTTCAAACGAGGAAGTTATGTTCTTATACTTTTGTGCTATTAGCTTGACCCTTTCTTCAGTGCTTTTAAACTATAGGGTTTTTTTTTTTTTTAATGGACTTATATGAAAGGTGGTTTCACTGGCCTACTCTCTTACATACTTGGGAAGAACTGAAAACAAGAGAGAGGGAGAAAGTACATATGAAACAAGAAGGTCATCAAACTACCGGGTGAATAAAAGTGTTTTTTCTAATTTGATAACCATATCCTTTCTGAAATGAGGTTGATAGCATTTCAGATCAGACAAATTTATTTCCCTGCTAATCTATATACTTCATCACAACTATAAAATTTGAGACCTTAGGTGATGTGCATTACCATAATGGAACAAAAAATGTTTCAGTCACATTCTTGAGATTGATCACTAGCTCTAGAATTTTAAAAAAATGAATGAATTCAAGATACTCATTTAAAGTAGACTACATATGAGACTTAGTTTCTACTCTATATAATTGGCACAAAATATATACCTCATTAGTCATTTTAATTAAATGAAATAATAAGTTTACATAATATTAGTATTTGTTTCATGATTATGTGCTAGGCCTTAGGTCAAGATGCTTTATACATACTTAAAAAATATCTAATGTGAAAACTGTCACTATTAGCTCCGTTCTCCACTACTATCCTCAATTTTCCATGTCATTCTAATTTTAAGCAATATTTGTATCCACTAAGGTAGTGATTCTTAATTTTTTTATATCATAGAACTTTGAGAATCAGATGAAAAGTATCATCATCCAAAAATTCAAATTGAATATACATGCACATTTTGCATGCAATTTTAAAAGGTTTGGGGGCCTCCAATTTATAGACCATCTAGTGATAAAATCTAAACTAAGAACTTACATGCTATGTAAACGGAAATAACATGATCATGTCAAATTCTCTTAATACAAATATACATCAAAAAGGCATTGCTTCTGAATTTAAAACATTTAATCTGAGAGAACAACAAGGAATATTTGTGTCAATACAAAACACATAGAGGGGCCTGTGAGGTTATATCTTATTGTAATAAATATAAGTACACTTCTAAGAAATATGTGTATGTATATCTGGGTGTCTTGGAGACATAAATTAAGTTTGTCAGAACCATACTGTTCTTTTTTTTTATTATCTAAACCTCAATGTGCCTCAAACGATAATTATTTTTCTTATTTTTCCTACACTCCATTTTGCATTTAAACGAACAACATCAATCCCCTTCTACAACATTGATCTAACCAAATGATTTCAGCTTAGTTTATATCCAACCAGTTATCAAACCATATTGGCTCTAGTTAAAAGAAATAAACTTAGTCTTTCTATATTCTTCATACTATCAAAACAAGGAATTTAATAAAAGTTGACTGCACATCTACTATGTAAAAAAAAATCAAAGAAAACTTTTTATGACCTAAACATTATTCATAATATTGTTTTCTTCTTTGCCTTAATAGACTAACCCTTAAGAATACTGATCCGCCTGTATCCCTCTTTAAAGGCTATTAATTATCAGAAACATTTGTTTCTTAGAGTCAGGGGTAGATTAGATATCTTCACTCCACACTCACATTACCATTTGTCTGTCTGCCAAAAATCCCTTTCTTTCAAAAAAAAAATCTTATCACCAATTTATTCTATCATCTTCCTAACCTCATTTATGGCAGTAACTATCTCTTGATCCCTCCCACTGTGCCTCCTATTCACAAACACACACACCTATGAATATTTCATAAACCAGCTCACTCTCTTCCTCAGCACCCCTATTCTTGGTGTTTTCAACACCTAGTGTCTCATTTATTTTACCTCGCACCTAAAACTGTTTACTCCACTCTTCCTCAGCCAACTTCTATGGTCACATGCTAACATGAGAAAGGAGACCACTTTCAGAATCACAAACTGAAGCCTGCATATTCTGTTCTCAGTTGCCTGATCCTTCCATTTCACTTCCTCAAATGTTCCTTCTGCAATATTTTAAATATTAGGTCTTCCAATTCTTTCATCCCCTTTCCCCACCTATTAGCTCTTCTGGCTCTACATTTCCTACCTTTCAATATTTGTTTTTCTAGTTAATCATTATAATCATTCTCTTTCAAATACTTTTTTTTTTTTTTTTTTTTGAGACGGAGTCTCACTCTGTCACCCAGGCTGGAGTGTAGTGGCGCGATCTCAGCTCACTGCAAGCTCCGCCTCCAGGGTTCACGCCATTCTCCTGCCTCAGCCTCCCGAGTAGCTGGGACTACAGGTGCCCGCCACCACGCCCGGCTAATTTTTTGTATTTTTAGTAGAGACGGGGTTTCACCGTGTTAGCCAGGATGCTCTCGATCTCCTGACCTCGTGATCCGCCCGCCTCGGCCTTCCAAAGTGCTGGGATTACAAGTGTGAGCCACTGTGCCCAGCCTCAAATACTTTTAACCAGCTCTCTCCTTCTCTTGTCGATATAGATTAAAAAAATACCAATCTTAAATGACTATCTAGCTCATATTTCTTTTCGCCTTTTCCCACAGCTGAGAATTGCTGGAAACGATTCCCATTCTGCTCAATTAATTCTGAGCCCTTTTCACTTTTCCAAAACTCTCCATCCACTTTCCTCTGTCGCAACTTTCTCAGCATATTACTACACGTCCTCTGTAAGAGAATGCAAGAGATGAGAATATCTAATGTTTCTCGTTCAACAAATGTTCATTTCCTACTTAGAAAAATGTCATTATCCGTATGTGCTCTCGATTCTTACCTTGTAATTTCTCAACACTCTTTTCATATATATATAAATAAAAATCACTTTTCATGAGCCATTTGAGAGTACTTGGGGTGTACAGTGTTCCTTCACGTTAAACCCTTGTGGGTTATTACAAAAAAGACAACAATATTCTCTTACATAACCATGTTATAATTCTCAAATTCAAGATTTTGAACATTGCAGAGATACAGTGATCGAACATGAGTCAGCAAGCTTTTTCTGCAGAAGGCCAGATAATAAATAGTTTAGGATTTCTGGGCCATATGGTCTCTATCATAACTACTCTACTGCAATGGCACAACAGCAGCCATAGGCAGTGCCATCAACCAATGTCCACTGCTACTTTACAAAGCAAGTGGCAGACTCTGAATTAAACTAGTTTACATTAAAAAAATTTCAATTGACCTAAGAAACTTTTGTAGAATTTGTTCTTGTTTAAAACTTATTTTGTTGCTTATTGGATATTTCCTTTCATTTCTTTCAACTTTTGTTTTATATAAGGTGTTATTAGGCATATGTAAATTTAAGATTTCTTAATCTTTCTTGTGAATTGGGCCATTTTATCAATAAGATGTCTCTCCTTATTTCTAGTGATATTATTTTATGCTAAAGTAGATTCATCTGCTGAGCCTCGTGGCCAATGCCTGCAATCCAAGCACTTTGGAGTCCAAGGCAGGCAGATTGCTTGGGTCTAAGATTTTGAGACCAGCCTAGGTAATATAGTGGAACCCCACCTCTACAAAACATTTGAAAAGTTCGCCAAGGGTGGTGGTACACAGCTTTTGATCTCAGATACTCAGGAGGCTGAGGTGGGAGGATGGCTTGAGTCCAGGAGGTTGAGGCTGCATGAGCTGTGGCCATGCCACTGAATTCCAGCCTGGGTGACAGAGCAAGACATTATCTCACACAAACACACAAAAAATAGACTTGTCTTATTTTAGTATAGGTTTACTAATCTATATTTGGTGGATGTGCACATATATCTAGTTTATCTTTTTTGTTTTCAAATTATCCATGCCTTTAGATTTAAACTTTTTATTCCGTACGTAGATGGGTTTCCCTTTATTCATACAGATAATCTTTGTCTTCTAATTGGAGCTTTAATTCAATTTACATTTAATATTGCTTTTGATATTGTTAAGTTTAAGCCTGTCTTCTTACTTTATTTCCCTTTGTCCCATCTATAGATTGATCCTGTTATTTTCTGCACCTTGTTACTCAAACCAATCAATGTGTTTTCCTTAATTTGGAATTTTTTTTAATACTAGAGTGCATATTTGGTCCTAAGTTACTGTTGAAATTGTTGTGTACATCTTTACTATTTTCACTAATAGAATATTCATTAAAGATCATGTCTGTTTAATGCTGAGATCATCTGTATGTTTTTTCTGTTGTCTGCTTTTCTGTTGATTTTTGATCATGTATTCCTGCCACTTTGTATGTCTAGCATTATTTAATTCTATGTTGGGCATTTTCTATAAAAGTCTATGAAAGGTGCCTCCAGATGATATCTTCCATCAAATTTTCCCTCTTTTATATTGGACAGATAGAGTGAGAGACTTATTACATTGATTCTTTTAAGGGTTGATTTTTGCCTTTAATAAGGCTAAGACTCAGCCTTATTAAATCTCAACTTTGCCTGGTTTCATTCAGTTCCTTGGTCATGATCCTTCTAGGCTTTTTATTAAAAATCTAATAAATCTCCAGCTGTTCCACATAAAATATATGTGTCATTTCATTCATTCTTCTGGAGGCTTCAGAGCTTAGTCTTAGTCTTGTAACCTCCAAAATTAAAAACATTCCCAATTTCTTAAGGGAGGAGCAACCTGTTTGTTTGGGACTTATTTCCTCCTTGTATTGAAATATTGTATTCTAAGAACAAGAGATTACTGGAGAGTTACTCTGTCTTTTTGATACGCTCAGCATAACTCCTGAGCCTTTCGAACTGGATCCAGAAATCTGAAGCTTCTTAGTACTCTACCACCTCTGAGGAACCATAGACAGAAGAGTATCATTGAATTATTGAGGTAAAATGTATGTATTCACAGTATTTACTGAAAAAATAGGTCCTATCTAAAGTGTTGATTTTTATGTGTTAAAAATAAAACAAATGATTCTTGCCATTAGAGAAAACAGACCTAGATAAATTGATATTTATAAGAGAGGAAACAAAGAAGTCCTGACTATCCCAAGAATAGTGGATAGTTGTACAGAAACCAGGGGAAAGTGGTTTCTATGTCTCCACACTTAATACTTTGAGATATGGGATTTGTTAGTGTACGAGAAACAAATAGCTCACAGGTTCTCTATCAATATCAGTAAAGAGTGGAGAGAGGCTTATACTGCAACCTTCAGGGGTTTGTATTACTTACATATGAAATTCCTACCATTGCTGACAATTTTATGTAAAAAAGGAGACATCCTATGATTAGAATACAACATTCGCTGTAGGAAACACATATGTTTTTGGTTTTGTATAATAATGTATGTGTATCTAAAAGAAAGATTTATTATCAGGATAAATTATTACTAATAGGAACTATTTATTTAGCATTTGAGGCTTAGTTTTATGCTAATGCAGTCAATGTATTTTGTTTTTTTTCTCTACAGTCCTCAAATTGGCTTCCCATATTAAAGCTTATGCACAAGTCTTTTAGTTTTCTATAATGAATCCTTTGCTTCCTTGCATGGTATTCTATCTATGGGATACCAAAGTGCTCTGCTAATTCCTTGAAGTGACTTTGTCTATAGCATATTTTTCTAATCATATTCCCATTTAACATTTTAGACATCTGGCTAAGATCTGGTTTAAAAATCACTTTTCATTAAGCCTTGTCCAACTAGCATAGTTACAAACAAACTCACCATTCATTCTCTGACCTCCAATTACAATTCTAATTAGCGAATGCGTGCAGAGTATATTTAAAATGACATAGATAACTCAGCTGGGACAAAGAAGTTCCCTTCTCACAAAACTCCAGCTGTTTGACAGCTCTTTTCTAAAGCGTGTTGAAGAGTGTTCTGAGGTTGTACCCGAGTTTAAATGACAGCAGTAGTTTATATCTAACAATATACCAGATATTATGGAATTTCTTTTTAACTTATCATGATCATTTTCTCACACAATTAAAAATTAACTGATCATTTTATTTTTAATGAAAGCACTAACATTACATCACATTTACCTAATTGTATGTTATTTTCAAAGTTTGACTTTTAGAATTAATACTAAATTATTCACTGTATTCTTAGGCCATATTTCCAGAAATCAATCTGTTACACAGCAGTCTTTGAAAGTTTTTAAAGCTGCTAAGATACCCATAAAATTGTTTCTAGAAAGATTGAAGCAATTTGTATTCCCATTAGTACTTTTTGAGTGCTGGTATTATCACAATGAGAAAGCTATCACTAAAAATTTCTTTGAAAAGTAAACAAATGTATGTGATTATACTATAAATAAGCATTTTCTTCATTACCAGTGAGTTTAGTTTTTTTCCCCTACTTGTGCATATTAGCCATGTTTTTGAGAGTTATCTGTGATTTCTTTGTAAACCTTCCTATTTCTCTAATAGAGTATTTATGCTTTCTTACAAATACATAAGTAATTGTCACATAAGTATATAATATTTGAGTCAAATAGCACATACAGTATTTTTTAAAGCATATTAAATTTTTGGTTGTTGCAAATCATTTCCTGTTTACCAGTTGTCTTTAGTTATATATATATAATTTAATTTTTTCAATGTGTATATAATTACATAATATCAAAAAAATTAAACTAGGAAAAAAGGCGAAAAGGTGGGTCATTTCAATGTCATACTGGGTGTTATGTGTCAGTTTAAGTTGAACATAATTTAATTATTTAAATAACAACCCTCTATTTGACTTTGCTTAATAACAATTAAGTGCTAAGACTCTACAAAGACACATATTATATTACCGATTTCTGTCTGGTGGAAAAAAAGTGGCCCCAAGGTTTACAGTTTATTGCCCTGTAAGATATTAATGAGTTTGGTCTCTAACTCAGCAAACCTATTTCAAGATGTCTTTACTAGTGCAGTGTTAAAAACCCTGTTTTACAAAATGCTCTTTGAACTAGCATTGCCATCTAAACATTATAGTACTAATGAGATAAGAACTCTTTGACATGTTTATTTTTATATCTATATGACAGTCAGGTTTTTAATTTTTTTAAATATATTTTCAAAAGTTCTTCAGGTTCCCCCATTATCCCCGATTGGATTCAGCTGTCAGATCTCATTAAGCTACATTGACTAAGAGGTGTACTTCACAGGCTATTTAAATAGAAACAGGATTCTTGGTTTGGGCAGTGATTCCCAAGTAGCCCGGCAGCTTTATTTTTGCTGAGTCTTCATTTGCAGTAATTGGGAATCTAGCTTAATGGTCTGAGAATTTGATGATGTATTTTAGAGGGACTATAGGATTTATTCCTCTTCGGTGAAGTAAAACAGAAATTCTGGTTTGTTAGCTATTTATTTTTATTTTTTTACCTACTATTTATGAGAAGTAAATTTGTATGCCCTTTGGAAAGGAGAACTATTCTTTGAGATAAATACTGTGAATTTTTGTGTAGCTGTTGACTTTTGACCCATGAATAAGAATTGAAGATGCAAGATCTCTGTTGACATATAATTGAGAAAATCTTTTACTTCTCAGTATGTGAGTGTGGAATACTCTTACTTTTTCAGTGTATTATAAAATTTAATTATTAATCTCTTAAATTAATTTAGCTTTGTATTAGCTGGTTAATTTTTTATTGCATTGAAATACATGTAACATAAAATTTACCCTAGAATAATTTTAAAGTGTACAATTAAGTGGCAGGTAGTACATCAACGATGTTCTGCAACCATTATTACTATCAAGTTCCGGAAATTCTTCAGCATTCCAAAAGGATATCTTGTATCTTTTAATCCATCACTCCCCATGTCTCCCTACCCTCGGCCACTGGTAACCTCTAACCTGCTCTCCATCTCCACGGCTTTGACTATAATGGATATTTCATACAAATGGGCTTATATAATAAATGACCTTTTTGGTCAGACTTTCACTTAGCATGATGTTTTCAAGATTCATTCATGTTGAAATGCCATATTATGTAATAGTATTTCAATCCTTTCATAGCTTAATAATACTCCATTATATGGATTTACCATATTTTATCTATCCATCCACTGATGGACATTTTAGTTTTTTCTACATTTTGGTCAATGTAAATAGTACTGTTATGACCATTTGTGTACAAGTTTTTGTTTGACCACTTGTTACCAATTCTTTGGCTGTAAAGTTAGGAGTAGAATTGATAAGCCATATTTTACTTCTTCTTATCTTTTGGATGACTGTGAAAATGTTTTCCATGGGGCTGTCCTATTTTACATTTCAACCAATAATGTGTGAGTGTTCCAATTACTCCACATTTTCACCAGTACTTGTTATTTTATGTCTTTTGTGTTTCAGTCATTCCAGGGGACTGCAATGATATCTTATTGTGGTTTTTATTTGTGTTTTCTTGATGGCTAACAATATTGAACATCTGTATGTACTTGATATCTATTCGTATATCTTCTTTGGATAAACGTGTATTCACGTTATTTGTACATTTTGTAACTCAGTTGTCTTCATGTTTTTAATTACAGGGATTCTTTAATTATTTTGGATGTTAGAGTTTTATCAGATATATTAATTGAAAATATTTTCTCACATAGTAGGATTTTTTTTTTACTTTCTTGATACTGTCCTTTAATGAGTATTTTTTTAATTATGAAGAAGTATAATTTATCTGTTATTTCTCTTTGGTTGTTTATGCTTTTGATATTGTATCTAAGAAACCATTGTCAAATCCAAAGTTATGAATTAATACCCCTATATTTTCTTCAAATAATTTTGTAGTGTTAGTTGTTATACTTAGGTCTTAGATCCTTTATGAGACAATTGTTCAATATAGTGCAGGCAATGGTCAAAACTCATTTTACATGTAAATATCCACTTATCCTACAGCTTTATGTTGAAGAGACTATGACTTTCCCATCAGATAATCCTTATACTCTTGTCAAAACTCAACTGACCATTGGTCTATGTGTCTATTTTTATGCCAGTAACATGCTATTTTGGTCATGATAGCTTTGTATAGAAAGGCCAGAAATAAACTCACACATTTATAGCCAACTGATATTGGCAAAGGCATCAACTGCACACAATGGGGAAAAGACAACCCCTTCAATAAATGGTGCTAGGAAAACTGCATATACATATATAGAAGAACTGTATTAGTCCATTTCCACCCTGCTATAATGAACTACCTGAGACTAGATAATTAAAAAAAATAAAAAGAAAAGAAAAAGAGGTTTAATTGACTTACAGTTGTGCATAGCTGGGGAGGCCTCTGTAAACTTACAGTCATACCAGAACATGAAGGAAAAGCAGGCACCTTCTTCATAAGGCAGGAGAGTGAGTGAGTGGCGAACCACCAGACAGTTTTAAACAGCAGATCTTGTGAGAACTCCAGCATTATCACGAGAACAGCATGGAGGAAGCTGCCTCCATGACCCAGTCACCTCCCACCAGGTCCCTCCCTTGACATATGGGGATTACAACTTGAGATGAGGTTTGGGTGGTGACACAGAGCCAAACTGTATTAAGAACAAAATTAAACCTTATCTTTTATCATATAAAAATAACTCAAAATGGATAAAAGCCTTAAACGTAAGACTCAAAACTACAAAACTACAAGAAGGAAACATAGAGGGAAATTTCCATAACATTGGTCTAGGCAAGGATCTTTTGTATGAAACCAGAGGTACATAGGCAACAAAAGAAAATATAGACACATGAGGTTAGAAAAACTAAAAAGCTTCTGCACAGCAAGAAAATAATGCACAGAGCAAAGAGAAAACCTACAGAATAGGAGAATATATTTGACAACTGCACATCTTATAAGGGGCTAATATCCAAAATATATAAGAAACTCAAACAACTCAATAACAACAAAATAATGACCTCATTTAAAAATGGGTCAAAAACCTGAATAGACATTTCTCAAAAGAAGACATTCAAATGGCCAACAAATATGAAAAAAATGCTCAACATCACTCATCATTACAAAAATGCAAATAAAAACTTCAATGAGATGTCACCTCACTCAAGTATGAGTGGCTAGTATATAAAAATTAAAAGACACCCAGTGTCAATAAGAATGTGGAGAATAGTGAACAAATACACTGCTGGTGGGAATGTAAATGTAAATTAGTACAATTCTTTTGAAAAACAGTATGGAGGTTCCCTCATAAGCTACCAGTAGAACTACCATATGAACCAACCATACCACTACTGCATATATTTTCAAAGGAAAAGAAATCAGTATGTTGAAGAGATATCTGCACTCCTACTTATATAGTAACAGTATTCACCATAGCTAAAATATGGAATCACCCTAAAAATCCATCAGTGGATGAATGGATAAAGAAAGTATTGTAAATATGTACCATGAAATAATATTCAGCTATAAAAAATGAAATCCTGTTGTTTGCAGCAACATGGATGAACTTGGAGGACATTAAGTAAAATAAGCCAGGCACAGAAAGATATCACTCATGTGTGGAATCTAAAAAGTTTTTATCACAAAAGTACAGAGTAAAATAGCGGTTACCAGAAAATGGGGAGAGTCAGGGAAATTATTAAATAGGCACAAAGCTACAGTTAGGAGAAATAAGTTCTAGGTATCTATTGCCTAGTAGGTTAAAGAGAGTTAACAATAATGTATTGTACATTTCAAAATAGCTAGAAGAGGGGTTTTTAATATTCTTACTGCAAAGAAATGATAAATTTTTAAGGTGATAGATATGCTAATTACCTTGACTTCATCAATACAGGATTTATACATGTAGTAGTGCATAAATATTTATGATTATGTGTCATTCATAAATTTTTAAAAAGAAAAAATCAATTGACCCTAGATTGCCAAATTTATTTGTGCACTTTTATGCTGGTACCATACTCTTGAACACTTTAGCTTTGAAGTAATCCCTAAAATTGAAATATCTTAGCTGTCTATACTCTTTCAAGATAGTTTTCACCATTCTGGGTACTAGTTGTTTTACTAATAAATTACATTAATATGTATTTTAAATTTTAGAAGACAAAAAAATAAAAAGTTCTTATTCTTTATTCGGAAACATATATATATATGTATTCTTTTACTTTGGTACAACTTTCTTACAGTGGAGTTAGAGGACTATTTGTGTGCACACTTTTCTATTCCTCTCTTTAGGATTTAAAGAAAACTTGGGTACAGGAGAATTATTTATCAAAGTTGTTTTCTCATGAAAATTCAAGTCAACTCTATCTTTGCTGGGCTTCTTCCACTTACCAAAAACAGAAATTTTACTCTATGATTCGCATTCTGAGTTTCTGTCTAAAAGCCCCAACTACTTTAATAACATATTCAGCCAGAAGAAAGGAGATAATAATTGGCTTTTCTAATCTTCTCTCCATTAGGTGAAGAAATAATGCATCATATTTTACTGGGCAATGTAATAGGTGGAAGCTTCTTTAAGCTTCAAGGCTCAAGACTGTGACAGGTAGATATCAAAATTTAGTGTTTTATTTTACCAAGCATCATTAATTAATCAATGTAATAAAAACTTATTAAGTACGAACTAGGAGCTAGATGCAAGACATAAATAACAGACTATGGCTTTAATTTTTTCATTCTTCAAACAAGAAAATGAACAAACAATTGTAGTACATATACAAGTGTGATGGAGATTTGCATAAACTAATCTGGGGCAGACATGAGAGTAGCTACTCAATTACGGTTGGTGAAAACAGCCTAGGAAAGTCCTCTGAAGGATGTAGCTCCTGAGACAATTACCATGACATATAATGATGCCTCAGGTAAAATTTAAGAAAGTAAGAAGTGGAGAAGAAGCAACAGATGCAGTGACATCAACTCAAGAGCCAACAGTAAACTAGAGATCAACAAAGAATTCAACATACTCTGAAGATGAGGCACAAGATAGGGAATGAAGAGACATGCTGTTGACGATGGAAAAGGCTGCTTTGTGTTAGCTCCTAAAATATTCCATGTTTATATGCTCTACCTATGACAATATGGCCTGGTAATGTAGCGCATGTTGCTGGAGACTATTCAAACTGTCTCACTAAAGTCAAATTCTGGATCTACCACTTTCTTGATATGTGACATTAGACAGGTTCTTTTATAATTTTGGGCCTCAATTCTTCATCAACAAAATGGAAAAATAATAACACCAATATCACTAGGCTTTTCTGAGAATTACATGAAAAAGTAAATAAACAATGCATTATGTTACATAGAGTAATCCCTCTGTCTCTATATATATAATTTTAGTATATTATTTTTGCTATTATTTTCTAGCAGTAATACACAAAGCACATGTTTAGTAGAGTCAATGATGTATAACATCTAGAAAACTTTAAAAAGTTTTTCATTCTTATTTAGGTTTCAGGATATGGAGAACAGAATGGTTTCATTCACATCTCTGGGTTAAAATAAATACGGTGATTAACCAAATGTATATTGACCCTACAAATTTTTCAAAAGTGATCTAAAAAGTACAGCCAAAAATGTCCTTGTAAGCTTAAATGGAGTCTAAGGAAAGACATTTAAAGAAAATAAAAACCAAAAGAATATGTGATAAATCACAATTTAGCAACATACACGTAACAAAGATGACAGAAAAATCCCAGTGGACAATGGATGTGATATATGTAAGAATGAATGTATTCAACTTTTACTCAGACTCTGTCTGCCACACATGAATGCCATTTCTTTTTGCTTTTCATCTGCATATAAAAGTAGAATAGAATTCCAGAGAAGAGATATTTCAGTTTTCACAAAGAGAAATCTTTGGAAATAATGAAATTCCAATGGTCAAACTAAATGTCTCATGTCCACCTACAGACACCCAGTGATTTCCCATTAACATATAGCATTACACAGAATGTCATTCAGTTACTTAGACTTTTAACTCCGAATGAAATTTGTCAGTTTGATACATATGTCAATAATTTCTAGGTAGTGTAATGGGTGGCTCAGTTTCTAAATAAAAAATGTAAGCTCAAAAATTCTCCAATCTATATAAAATCTTCAAACTAGTTAATGCAAGGTTCATAAGGTTAATTAACGACTGAAATTCATGGTCCCATGAAATTATGTTAAATTACAGGGGAATTATTGATCTGAGATGTAGAATTCTTTTCTAAGAGGACTATAATTAAGCATTTTCCAACTTTGTCCCTTTTTAGCAAAGAGTTGGTAAGATTATCCTCATCATTATCAGTTGTCTTTAGAAGATCAAAGTAGTAGAATTAAGTGCAATTCAGCTACATTCAGGAGCCAAATCTTAAAATATTTATTTTAATAAATGTTTTCATCAATTTTAGTGGTATCAAGTCAAGACATACATATCTCTAAAAACTGGATCAACAATCTATAGAGTACTATCTTTTCTATTATATATTTAGAACACTATTTTTTCTAGATGGTGATGTGCATATATCAACAATATTGACATTTTTCTGTAGCCAATTATAATATATTCTAGTTATTACAACCACCAGACATTACGCGTAATTTTGTGATATTGTAGAATTTCTGAGAAACATGTTAAATTATTATGTAGACTAAAAACTCTCCACTTATTTGGAAGTTTTTTAATGATAATGTCATAATATCAGTAGGAATATATTTATGTATATATTTATTTGTGAGCTTCATTTGGGAGAGAGAAAGGTAGAAATATGTCATTCTCACCGACACAACATTACTAAAACTCCTATGTAATCTAAAAGTCACAAACTTTTTTGTGACCATCTAAGAGTTGGAATTGCAAGGCAAGCAACTACCCAAAAATCTAAGGAAAGAAAGGTACCTCCAAGGAAAGATGGAAACTTACAACTAGAAACATTCTAGAAGAAAATATATAAAAACATTGCTGCGATCTTATCTTACATAAATTTTTTTAGATACAGTACCAAAATCATGAACCATAAAATTAAATGTGAAAAAATTGTTAAATCAAACTTTAAGATTGTTAGGGATGCTCTGATTCTTGAAGAAAACTGAGAAGAAAATAAAAAGTCCAGCTGATCCCTTTAAAAAAATATTTGAAAAATCACATATATGACAAAGAACTTGTATGTAGAATAGGTAGGCAAATGTCAAAACTCAATAATAAAGCAAAAGCCCAATTTTAATAAATGAGAAAAATATTCCAACAAAGATATCTATCATCTAAAACATAGATGTCACATAAACATATGAAATCGCTGTTAGATGTAGGGAAAATGCAAATTAAAACTACAGTGCACTGCCACTAAGTGCCCTTTTAAAATGTCAATAATAATAATAACAACAATTCTGCAAAGGCCAAGTATTAACAGGTATGTGTAGCAACAAGGATTCTCATACATTTATTGCAATATGGCAATCATTTTGGTAATGCAAAATGATATAATTTGAAAAACATTTTTTCAATTTCTTGAAAATTAACCACCTCCTATGTGACCCAGCATTCTGTAGAATAAATATCCTGGGTATTTATTCAATTAATATGAAAACTTATGTCCATACAAAAGCTTTTCTGTAAATGTTTATAGCGGCTTTATTTGTAATAGCCAAAAGATGCGAAAAGAAATGTTCTTCAACTGGTGAAATGAATAGGAAACTCTTTATAGTCAATCCATGCAGTGGGTTGCTATTCACCCATGAAAGGGAACAAGATTACTGATGAATGCAAGATGGATGAATCTCAGAACTCACTGTAGTAGCTGAATGTAGCCAGTCTCAAAGGCTACCTACTATATGATTCTGCTTATATGATATTCTGGACACGGTGTTGTCACTTGCCATATAATTAAAGTAATGGTACATCAATGTCAATACAGAGTATAATTTACAATCAAGAATCTGTCCATAATCATTCCTTTTAAAAATAATCTGTAAATTAATTTCATATAGTAAGAAATTTTAAAATAGTAGTTAAGGGCTTAGGCTCTATTTTCTAGTTTTCATGGAGTAAGTAGTGCAGGATTCAACCATCTGCTGTAAAATGAACTATAACTGAGGGTAATATACATTTTTGGTCATGGACAACAAAAAATACATAAATGTGACATATTAAAAAATGAAAACTAATGGGGTGAATTCTACTTTTATGAAGGTTTTCTGCCTGAGGTACTTTCCAAATGACAGTGTAAGAATGTGAACGCCAAACACAGAGCAACCAATAGATTGAATGAAAGAGAATTTGGTGTTGCTCAGGTGGCTGGAATTTGGAGTGCGGCAGGTAGGGTACTGCACAGGAGGGAACTGCACAGAGAAAGAGCCTCACAATTCTGCATAAGTCCCCTATTAGGTCTGTAGCCAAACATAAAGTAGCACATGCACAGGGCCAGTGCTCTGCAAAGGCTGTCAGAGAACAGCTACTGGAGAACTGTGAGGTACAGTCAGATACTGCTGGTAGTGTAAGTTCAGACCAGAAGGTGGAGAGACACTCCACTGAATACCCAGAGTTTAGAATTGAGACCACAGAAAAGCCAAACATGAAGTCTAAGGCTACACTAGTTGTAGGCTTGGCCTAAATAAGCTTCAAACTAAGACTCAACAAGATCTATCTGATCTGGCAGGAGACTAACGTCCTGCAAAAACCAAAGCCAACACTCTTGAAGCAAGGCAATAAAACCCTGACTCTTAACATCACAGTACTCTGAATGTATGGAAAACAATAAAAACTACTACACATGGAGAGAAGCAGCAATCCATGATCCATACCCAGGAGAAAAGCTGAGAGTTGCCAGCATATAGTATAAGAAATACTGAGGAAAGTTCTTTAGTCCAAAGAGAAATACATGGAGGTTTGGATTTATATGAAGGATTAAAGTATGTCACATTTAGTAAATATTTGAATGAATACTTATCATATTTTACATTTGTTAGTTTTAACAGCTATTTGTTTCTTTAAACAAAAGTAATAGAATTTGTGGGTTTAATCAACATAAGAAACAATATGTATGCAATAATATATGAAGTTTAGAAAGGTGTAAAACTATACTATTGGAAGGTTCGTAAAATACATACAGACCCATACAATGTTAATTCAAGGTAGACTAGGGTACATTAAACTTGCATATTCTAATTCCTAGAGAAATCAAATAAATATAGCCAAAAACCTAAAAGAGGAAATAGATTAGGTCACTAAGGCTATTTACTTAATCTAAAGTAATAAAAGGGGGTCAAATAAATAAAAAAAATTAGACGAATTTAAAAATACGTATCAAAATAAAAGATACTAGCCCAAGCATATCATTAATTACATTATTTGTAAACAGATACAAAAAATTACAAGGGAAAATACAAAATATTTTTAACTGAATAATTTTTCTTTTTTTTTGAGTCGGATTTTCGCTCTTGTTGCCCAAGCTGGAATGCAATGGCATGATCTCAGCTCACTGCAACCTCCTCCTCCCAGGTTCAAACGATTCTCCTGTCTCAGCATCCTGAGTAGTGAGGAGTACAGACGCACACCAGCATGCCCAGCTAATTTTTTGTATTTTTGGTAGAAACGGGGTTTCGCCATGTTAGCTAGGCTGGTCTCAAACTCCTGACCTCAGGTGATCCGCCCACCTCGGCCTCCAAAAGTGCTGGGATTACAGGCCTGAGCCACTGCACTCGGCCCTGAATATTTTTATTTAAAATCTTATAATTTGAGGATATAGATATAGAAAGCTAAAAATTGAGAGAAATACAGATCTTAAAATTGTATTTAATAGAGAAAAAAGATTAATAAACAATGTTTTCTAAGAAGCTAGCAAAAAAGGGAGTAAATTAAATTGCAAAATAAATATATAGAAATAAGTAATTAAGAGAAATTCCTGAAAGACATAATTAAAAAAAGGGAAAAGTATCAAAAACAGAAGTATCTTATTTGAATTATCAATAAAATTGATAAAAACTCCCGTAGAAAGTAACACAGAAGAAAAAAGAGAAAACCAAAATTACCGCTTTCTAGAATAAAAGCAAAGACAATAATATAGAGCACATTAAAGAAATAATAGGAGATATTATAAAGACTTTCATGTACATAAATGAATCAAATTAGGTGAAATGGAAAAATTCCTTGAAAAATAAAAACTACCAAAACCTACATAAAAAGCAATAGAACATCTAAGTAACTATATCTGATCCATTTAAACGGCTATATCTGGGAAGAAAGCTCAGTTGGTAATTTAAAACCTTATCAATAATGAAAAGTATAAGCACAAGTCGCTTTGTTGGGAAACTATTTCAAACTTTTAGACCAACTCTTTCAGAAAAAAAAAGGAGAAGACTTTGCCACTCATTTTAGGAGGGAGAATGAATGGTGATAATACAACTAGATAAAAGTCTTACAATAAAATGAAGTTACAAAACATTCTTACCAAATATTAACAAAACGGCCCTAGCAATAAATAAGAAGTTATCTTGATCAAGTGGGATTTATCCTAAGAATGTAGGATGATTTAAATATTTATTGTGAATTAATATAATTCATAATATTACAGATGAGAAAATGAGCAAATAAAAAGATTATTTTAATAGATACAGAAAGATAATTTGACAAAATTTAAAACACATTCATGATAAATACTTTCCGTTCACTAGTTATATAAGGAATTTTCTTCACAGTGATGCATTCCTATGAAAATTCTACTGTAAATATGAATATCATACTGAATAGAAAAGACTAAAATTTCCTTTTAGATTGGAAATAAGATAAAGATATCTTCTCTTGTCATTCCTATTCAATATTGTAGTCAGGCCTCACCCAGCATGACTAAAGAAGAATAAAATACATAATACTAAGATTGAAAAAAACTATTTCATTTGTAGACAAGATAATTTACAGAAAAAATTTTACATAATTCCCAACACTACAATTAGAAACAAAAGTGAACTTAACAGTGCTATAAAATATACCATCAGTATGCCAAAGTCAATTGTATTTCTATATATTGGTAACTAAAAGTGAGCAAGAATATTTAAACTTAATACCATTTATTACAACATTAAAAATTTTATATACTCAGAACAAAATTTCAACAAATATAAGCAGGATCTGTTCATTGAAAACTATAAAATATTTCTGAAAGGAATTATTGAAGCCTAATTACATGGATAAATGTAATATGTCAATGTATTGGATGACAAAATATCATTACAAATGTTAATGTTCCCACAAATTGACCAATGGAGTCAATGGAATACTGATCAAATTCTAACTGGTGTGTGTGGGTGTGTGTGATTCTGCAGAAATCAACATTTTTATATGGAACTAAAAAGAACCTAGAACAGTTCAAACAGTCTTGAAAAAATATTTGGATATCTTATAGTACTTGACTTCAATTTCAACTGTAAAACTTGATTTTAGAATCTACTACTATCAAGAGAGTATTATATTGGTATAATGAAAGACATATAGGTCAATTGAACCGAATCCAGAAAAAGACCCCAACTTGTAACAAAAACTGATTTTCAACAAAGTTGCCAAAGCAATTCAATGGAGAAAGAAAAGTCTTTTAAACAAATGGAGTTGAGTATGGAAAAAGTACACATCAATCACCCTCAAACCATGCACATCAACTAAATTGAAATGGTTGATAGGCCTCTACATAAAAGATACAGCTATAAAGCTTCTAGGAGAGAACACGGTAGAAAATATTTACAAATTTCAGGTAGTCAAAGTTTTCTCAGAACACAGAAAGCACTGTCTATAAAAGTTAAACATGAAATTGGACTTTATTAAAACCTCTGCTCAAAAACAAACATTATTAGATAAATGAATAGACATAACGTAGACTCACTAAATATATTCACAACATATATATCTGAGAAAGGATTTGTATCAAGAATATATAAACAATTCCTACAAATTACAGTAGGAAAGACACAAAATCCAATAATAATGAACAAAAATTTAAAAATGCAATTCACAGGAAAAGATATGTAAATGGCCAGTAAGCACATAAAAGAGTGCTCAACATCATTTGCCATCAGGGAAATGTGAATATCTCTGACAACCACAAAGAAATCCCACACACACTTCTTTAAAAACCTAAACAGACTAATAATACTAAGTGTTGGCAAGGTTGTAGAGCAATGGGATCTCTTTACACGCTGCTGGTAGTATTGTACCAAATACATCCACTTAAAAAAACTCATCATTTCTTACAAAGTTAAAACTATGCCTACTCTATGACCAAGAAATTTATCTCCTATGTATTCACCCAAGAGTAATGAATTTATATGTCTGAAGAAAAAGAATATAGTATCTTTATTTATTAATAAATTTTGATATATTCTTACAATAAAATACTACTCATCAGTAATAAGTACTGCATTGCTGAATGATCAAACGTGGATGAAATATATTTTCCTAAGATAAAAAATGCAAGAATATACACTATGACTGCATTTTTACAAAGGCCAAGAGTAGGCAAAATTGATCTATGGTTTTGTAAGTCTGAAGTGTTTGAATTGTAATTGCTTGGGATTGGCAGGGTGAGACCTGCCTGAAGTGGGCTTTAGGAAATAGCAACATTTTGATTGTGATGTGAATTACAAGGATGTATAGTTATGAATTACATGTCAAAGTTGTGTATTTCACTGCACATATATACATATTTTAATTAAAAAAGAACAAAATTCTACAGCTAAATACAGGAAGGAAGGAAGGAAAAAAGAAGGAAGGAAGGCATAAAGGGAAGAATAAAGGGAGGGAAGGAGGAAGGAAAGAACAAAGAGAGAGACACGGAGGAAGAAAGCGGGGAGAAAGGAAGGAAGAGAGGGAGGGAGGAAGGGAATGAGGAAGGGAAGAATTTAGGTAGGTAAAGAGAGGTAAATAAAGCTTGGGTTCTGAAGTCAATACAGTATAGTTCATATTCCCAGGTATGCTACTTACTCTATGACCTTGGCCACATTACTAAAGCCATCTACTTTTTTATTTTGTTGCCTAAAAATTTTTTAATAGTATATGTAAGATTGTTATGAAGATTAAATAGCATGACATAGGTATGGAAAGGTTTTAAACTTGGGAGTGCCTCACAATAAGTAATCGCTGGGTGGAAGTTATGAGAATGGTGGTCGTATGAGATCATATGAGAGTATAATGTGGTTAATTTTGAATTTCCCTGATGATTAGTGATGATCATTTTAAAAATTTATCTCTTAGCCATACGTATGTCTTCTTTTGAGAAATTTCTATTCAGGTCCTTTGCCTATTTTCTAATCAGGCTATTTGTTTCCTTGCTATTGAGTTGTGTGAGTTCCTTATATATTCTGGATATTAACCCCTTACCAGATGACTTTTAAAGGTGGCCAAACAAGAGTAGATTTAGAAGATAATGTTCAAGAAGGAGGTAGAGTGAAGATGCAGCCAGCCTCCAACCAGAAAAGATATAGCCAGAAAGCTCGTATATATGAGTAAGATTCGACACCCCCACTTATGATGTGAGAATTGACTTAGAAACACAAGAAAATCATCATCATCATCATCATCATCATCATCATCATCAATTATCCCTATCCTCTCATCCTTGTCACCTATTTATTAGATGCCTCATATGTGCTCGGTCAATGCATCTAGTTTAGTATTAACATGTACAACCTTCCTTGTTGAGATTTACGTATCTGATTCCCCAATGTATGTATTATTTAAGCTAAGAGTCTACATCTATCTCTCTTTATAGAATCTCCTCTTCTTCATGGAGCTGATCCATGTTTTCTGATAAAAGTATAGGATTATTGGAGTTTATAATACAATTTCAACCTCAGTAGTGATTCAAATCACAAAAAAAAACAAACAATTGTTGAAAAGCCTAACATCTTTACTGGAGTTAATTATAACATGATACCTGTTTTACACTCAGATTCACCCTCGTCTTAGTTTGCTGTTTTATAGATTACACCTTTCCAAATTTCACGGCAGTCTTTTATGAAAGGAACAAAATTTCAACCTTACAAATTGACTTACATGAAATCTGGGGTGATAGATATTTCTCAGTCTTCAACTTTGGTTTCTCTAATAGAATAACTGTACTTGCCATCAGTTTATTTTAATTAAAACCCTTATTCATTCAAGGTAATATTTATGGCCCAAACCCATTTGACAAAAGGTAGAAAAAGGGGAAAGACAGTGAGAAGAATAACTTGCAATTTTTGGAAACATGAAACTGACTTTAATTTTTACTTATCATGCTGTATTTCACACATAGTTTTTAAGTTATGACTTTATAGTATTTTGTTATTCATCTATCTCTTTTAGAAAATGGGGATTTTTAAACTCAAAGCACCAAAAAAGTATTTTCAGATGAAAAAGATAATTTTGTAGCTGTTTGAATATTTTCAAATCGTGTTTTCCAAGGCTGCCTTTCATTTACAGTTCATTGATGTTTTCCCCCAATTATTTAGAAATATCTGTCAACTTCTTTACACTGATTTACAAAGAATACTTTTTCACACACATTGTGACCTAAAAAGTCTTCTCTTTCTCTAAGATTACAACTTAAAGGTGCATGCATCACTGTAATTGAATCAAAATGTGGGAGAGGAACCTATTATGTTATATTAATTTTTTTATTCAAATACACCTCTTAACAATCAAAAATCATTTAATACAATTTTTCCCAAAAGGAAGACAGAATAATATACCCTCTAACATGAAATTTAAACATTTCTGCAAAAACACTGGATATTTGAAATTTTCTCTTGAATTGATTGAACACGTAATCTTGACTAATCCAGGTCACCCTTATATAGGTTTACTTTTTCTATTTATTAAATCAAGTGTATTTTATCAACCCTGTGATTCTTTCAGAGAAGCTTCTATCACAGACATAAATGAATCAATTTTATATTTATTTGTTTCATACTTTAATTTTCCTACTTCTCTGATGGTCATTCCTTAAAGCCATCTTCCTCCTCCCAGAACATCATTTCCAAGTTCTGACCTACACCCTCTCCGATTTCACTCAATTGCCATTTACTCAGAGAGCTTTGACTCTGTCCCCATGTGGCTGGCTGGCTCCTTCATCTGCCCCTCTACCTTTATGATTTACTGAGATTTAATATTCCAAAGGCCTGCCGAATACTTCTATTAAAATGTCTCACTGGGATTCAAGCTTCACCTGTCCAAACTAATACTATATTTTATAAGGAAGTACACAGAAACACCGACCCTAAATTTTTTTCCACATATCTCATATTTATTCTGGACAAAACTACCAGATACAGAATTGTATCCTAAATACAATTCTGATGACGTCACTTAAATGCTCAAAAGAGGGCTCTCTATTTCTCAGGAAGCAATATCTGAATTTTCTTTTCAATTTCATTGAGAGAACTAACATGACCCCAAACTTTCTTTCCAGTCTCAGTCATATTCGTGCTTCTTACACTGAGCACTTGCTCAGGGCCTCCTTTGCTCTAGCATGCTGCTTCTCTCTGTGTGACTGACATCTTACAAGACCCAGGTCTAAGGCCATTAACCTCCTGATACATTAGATGCCCACTTTTACCTGTGATAGTTGGTGAAATAAAATGTCATAAATATAAAAGAAAATAAACGTATATTAAATTTCCAAACATGTCAGAAGCAGTTTCTACAGGGAATAATGCACCTCAACGCATCCTTAAATTAACAGGCAAAGCATAATAGGAAATATTATATAAGAGAAAATAGTTAACCGTAAATAAAACTTGCATGAAATGAACATGAATTACATGCATTTACGAAATATGGGAGGTTAGGGTTACTTTGAAGATAAAATTTAACTTTTCACCAATCCCACAAAAATTAAATATCAAGATAATAAATTATATATATTACAAAGGACATGGATATCTTTAAAAACCTGTACTATACACACATACCAACACACAAGAGTTAGATGTTCATAGACTAGAAGTCCTAGGATAAACTCAAACTACTTGCAGAAAAAGACAAACATTGCTTCAGTAAACAATATGTCAGTGGATTCTTACAAATGCCAAACTAAAATTTCTCCAAAATATTACAACCGAATGACTCTAAAAAACTTCCAGCAAAGCCTAATTCTTCAATGATGACATCCTGAAACACCAGTGTCTTCTTGGTTTTTAGTGAAAATATTAGCCAATTTCTAAATAGCAAAATCTCTCTCTATATATATATAGATATCAAAATATCAAATATCTATCTACATACATATGTATATTGATATATATTGTCACCCAGGCTGGAGTGAAGTGGCGCGATCTCGGCTCACTGCAACCTCCATTCCCTGGGATCAGGCCATTCTCCTGCTTCAGTCTCCCGAGTGGCTAGGATTATAGGCACCCGCCACCAAGCCCAGCTAATTTTTCTATTTTTAGTAGAGATAGGGTTTCACCACATTGGCCAAGCTGGCCTCGAACTCCTGACCTCAAGTGATACTCCTGCCTCGGCCTCCCAAAGTGCTAGGATTGCAGGCGTGAGCCACTGCACCCGGCCAGTTTGCTATTTTTTAATAATGGCTTTACATTTGTGAAAAAAGGAATGATGAAATCATAAGGCCACCTATAAGGGATTCAGCATTCCTATTTTCAAATGAAAATATAGGTGCTGGATGTTGTAGCTCCCACTTGTAATTCCAGCACTCTAGGAGGCTGAGGCAGGAGGATCGCTTGAGCCCAGGAGTTCGAGACCAGCCTAGGCAACATGGTAAATACCGTCTACACAAAAAAGTAAAGAAAATTTTAAAAAATTAAAAAGGCCAGGTGTGGTGGTGCACACCTGTAATACCATCACTTTGGGATGCTGAGGCAGAAGGATTGCTTGAGCCCATGAGTTTGAGACCAGCATGGGCAATACAGTAAAACTTTGTCTCTACAAAAAGTACAAAAATTAGCCAGGCATGGTGGCACATGCCTGTGGACCCAGGTACTTAGGAGGCTGAGGTTGGAGGATCACTTGAGACCAGCGGTCAAGGCTACAGTGAGTCATCATCATGCAACTGCAATCCAGCCTGGGCAACAAAGTGTCTCTAAGAAAGTGAAAATGAAATGAAAGTATTTTTATAACAGAAAAGTAAAATAAATATCGCTCAGGTTTATGTAGCTTTACATGCCATAGCTATGGTAATGCATTATTCGTGGAATTTATTTCACTTCCTGAAAAAGGGATCAAAGTATTTAGTAAATATTCTCTGTGGCTACATTTGAAAACTATAAGGCTATTTTAACTGTGTAAAATGAAAACTGAAATCATTCAATGGTAATTCCAGAAATAGCACACCTAGTTTTGCATTAATTATGGATATAATTTGGTTACATTACAGCAGTAAGACATTGCCTAAAGTAGAAAATAAAACAGAATCAAGCTTCAGAGGTGTGTAGACTTAGCAAAATTATCAATAAATTAAAATTTGGGGAAGATAAGACTATGATGATTACATGAAAATCTTTAATATTAATTGAATTGAGTATTGATGTAAACAGCATACATGGGGCATTACAATAGTATTGCTTAACTTACAGTGTTTTAATATGTAAAGATGGTAGATAAAATAGATTTAGTACATATCTTATTTTACTGATATTCATTTTAATATAACATTAAGTCAAATGTTAAGTCTTTATAGGGCAATCAATGTAACAAATAATCTACCAATATAACTATCATATGAACAACAAAACATGAATTCAAAAGGATGAACAATGGTTAGCATGACAGATGCCTTACAATTAACATTAATGCCACAGAAATAACATTTTTTGATATGACCACAGCGTGCAATATTTCTAATACTTATAATGCTTATTTTAAAACTACGGGAAGGCATCAATGTCCCTAAACCAAGACTTTTCAAAAATCTCAATGAGGTTTCATGAGGTCTATATCTTCAAAAGCCATTCAAAATTCTGTTGTAAATGTGGAATAGCAAAAATCTAGAAATTTTATTTGATTTTGAATTTCAAAAATAAAATTAATCTTATTAAATTTAACTAACAAATGTTCACTCCTTTAAAAACAAATGCATACAATCATAGTTCAGTCTGTCAGAGAGAGTGTTATTACTAAACTACAAAATAAAGAAAAGCTATAAAACTATTAAGACAAGAAATAATGATAGTCTTTGTGGTAGCTTGCAAATTTTTCCCATCGCTGTATTTCCCTTTGCAAAGTGACTTTACTATTCCTCCAGTCAGTAAGTTGAATCAATTTCTTATCACTTAAATCCGGGCTCAACCTTGTAACTTGTATTGGTTTATGGGACATTAGTAAACTTGCCCCTAAGCAAAGGATTGAGAAATACTTTCACTTTGGGACTCACTCTCTATTGCCGCTGGGCACCATTCTGCCACCACGTGTTCAAGCCCGGACTAACCTCCTACTGGATGAGACCACATGGAGTGCCATTTCAACCATCATACCGACTTAGACACTTATGTTAGGGTATTCTAGGTTATTCAGCCCCAGGTCACTTTGTGTAAACAAGGAAAACTGCCTACTAAACAAAGTTGACAAAATGAATCCTTGTGGTTTTAAGCTATTAAGTTTTGGGCAAAGGTTTTTTGTTTTGTTTTTCAGCAAAAGCTAACTGAATCCATCATTACATATAACTTTTAGAAAATTAAACTATTTCCATAACCATCATGACAACAAAAGTAGTTTACAAATCTCACCATGATTAAAGCAAAATATTAAATTCAATAACATTATAGATGGACATAAAGTACTTAATCAAAAATAGTATTTTATATATTTCCTGCTAGAAGCTATGTAGCTGTCCATAATACTCATTAATTTTGAAATAACATAAGAGATTAGGTGCTTGATTAACTATTTAGCCAATTTCACATTATTCCAAATAAAATGTAAAGCACTGGGAAATATTGTAATTTCTCTGTAAAATCATTCTACTAGATTGGATTATTTTCCAGTTTATCTCTTTGATAAACTCTGTTACCTGGCATGAGCAGGAGTATTTTGATTCTACTTCCCTGGTTTAATTTTTGATGACCAAAAGAGGACCACCAACATGGCAAAAACAATATGCCTGAAACAAGACATGACAAGCTGATGGCAAATCACAGATACATGAGGAAGGCAACAATGACACTGTGTCATATAGACACTGAATTAAGAAGAAAAAATAAGTGTCATTGTAAATTTGCATGCATTTGCATTATTTGTGGTCAATTTCTGTTGTCCTCCTCCCTGATCAAATAAAAAATGTGGTAAATATCAGTATTAAATTCAGGAAAACTTATAAAAAGAATGGATGCAAAAGTAAAAGAAAAATAAACATGTATTAATACATTACTTCTTTGTGCTCCACAAGTACTAGAGGATAAAAAGCAGACAGAAAATGATACTTTATAGCAGCTTGTTTAAATAATTCACTTCACAAATAGTTCTCAGCAAGAAATGAAATAGCAGTCACTAATTATACCTAAGTTAAATTGAAGGAGAATATTTGCACTAATTTGCATTTCAAGAAATGGGAAAGAGAAAATGAATTTAACAAATATTTTATCAGAAAAAGAGCAAGTACTGCTATAATAACTTTAACTTAAGTGATCATAACAAGAGCATCTGTGGGAATAAAGTAATGAATATCAGACACATGAAAAAATAGGACATTTAATTGACTTTTCCTCTTATTGTTACCTTCCTTATTTTCCAGTCATTCAAATTTCAAAATTAATACTTTTGTAATTTGGTTCAAGACTAGACCATGTAATTCAGTTTCAGAGTGGTGCCAGGGTCAAAGAAACAGTTCAGCTACACAAAGTAAATTTCAATAGTTCAAAACTTCTATTTGCATATCTGAAAAATGATGAAAAGAATATAAATGCATAATTCCTTTCCCGTCCATATTCACTTTTCCAGGATCTGGCAAATAACTACAGTACATTCCAGTTTTTCTCTCCCTCTCCCAATCCCTTTCCTTTCCTTAATTATGTAGGTTGACCTAACCTTTCTTCAGCAAAAAAAGAAAGGGTCTGTAACTGAGGGACAGGGCACTAAAATTGCGGCATTAAAGTGGATCACACTTTGGTCCTATGACAGATGCTTGGTATAAGAATTTTGAAAACACAGAAATGTCCACATAAAATTTGTGATCTGTCCCATGTTTTATTTTATTATCTGATATAAATTTTATTAACAAAGTGGTGATTTTTTTCATCTTTTTTAATATAAAGACATACAAACATATAGATGAAATAATTTTCTCATCGTGAAAGCAAGGGCAAGAAAAAGAGGTCATAGGCAAGATGGCAAGGGTGATTTAGCAATGTGGTAAAACAATTTTAAAGAGTAAGTGGTCTATTTTGCATTTCAAATTATTTGCATACCAAAGTTTAACTCTCCAATTCCTTAAAACGGTAGTCAGTTTTGTGTGTACCTTTTAGGGGGTGAAGACATTAAGCAAATGACAGAGATCTGTATTTGGGTGGATGCCATGACCAAGGAAAGAACTTTCATACGATTCGGGGGAACAATATCTTAGTAAATTAGGGATAAAGATTATTCATTTTGTCAAAAATGAACTTGCTATTTCAAAGCAAGTTCTTATTTATAGGAGACTACTTATTTCTTCAAAGGAGATTTCAATTGCTGGACATATAGAACATTACAAGAGGAGATTATACCTAAATCTTTCAATTATTTTATTAATGCAAACCAAAGGAAAATTAGAGGGAAACTATAATGAAAGCGCACGGAAAGGTGAAGTCATGACAATAAGTGATAGGCCTTATTGTTATGATGACAATAAACAATGAGCTTTTACAGTGAGGAAGAAATGTGCTGTAAAAAAATTTGGATAGAGAACTATCTGCAGTATTTGTGAGTGGATATTCTTTTGATTAGTCTACTGAGTGTACGACAAGAAAAGCACAGAATGACCGAGAGATATTGGTCAAAGGCAGGGTTCAAGCTTCAATGCAGGGTACCAAGGGCATTGCAAACTCGTGCCATTAGAGAAGAAAGACCCCCTTGCCCCTGGCCTTTATACTGCTTGTGTTTGTTTTTCTATGATTTTATTTAAGAAACAATGCCACGTCTAAAAAAAATTTATAAAACATCCATCCAGACAATAAAAATATTCTAATTTATAATACATAAGAGGGATGGATTTTAGTATGAAGATACCGTGTGTTTCAATTTTTAACAAATTACTTATCTTTGTGCCGCGGTACCATGCCATTAATAAAATTTGTAACACACTATTTCTCAGAAATATCAGAAACAGTGATGGTCTAATGCATTAAACCTCCATAAACAAAACTAATGGGAAAGAATGAAGCCCTTTCTTCAGTTAATAAAATGTCTGTTTGATATTCGCAAAGAAATACATTTTCTTAATTTGAAATCCAGTAGACTAACAAAGTGTAAGCTGATTGGCACTTCAGAGTTTCAGTGTCTTGAGGATGAATTCCAAACCGCACCCGGCCTCAGCCTCACTTTTACCAGAAAATGAAACCGGAAGCCTCCCCTACTCTTAATTCCCCAACTACAGAAGAGGAGAAAACGGAATCTCATCAGGAGGTTGCTAACCCAGAACACTATATTAAACATCCCCTACAGAACAGATGGGCACTCTGGTTTTTTAAAAACGAAAAAAGCAAAACTTGGCAAGCAAACCTGCTGCGGCTGATCTCTAAGTTTGATACTGTTGAAGACTTCTGGGCTCTGTACAACCATATCCAGTTGTCTAGTAATTTAATGCCTGGCTGTGACTACTCACTTTTTAAGGATGGTATTGAGACTATGTGGGAAGATGAGAAAAACAAATGGGGAGGACGATGGCTAATTACATTGAACAGTCAGCAGAGACGAAGTGACCTCGATCGCTTTTGGCTAGAGACACTTCTGTGCCTTATTGGACAATCTTCTGATGACTGCAGTGATGATGTATGTGGCGCTGTTGTTAATGTTAGAGCTAATTGTGATAAGAGAGCAGTGTGGACTACTGAATGTGAAAACAAAGAAGCTGTTACACATACAGGGACGGTATAACAAGGAAAGGTTAGGACTTCATCCAAAGATAGTGACTGGTTATCAGTCCCACGCAGACACAGCTACTAAGAGCGGCTCCACCACTAAAAATAGGTTTGTTGTTTAAGAAGACACCTTCTGAGTATTCTCACAGGAGACTGAGTTAAGCAATCGAGATTTGGGAGCTGAACCAAAGCCTCTTCAAAAAGCAGAGTGGACTGCATTTAAATTTCATTTCCATCTAAATGTTACTAAGGTATAAGAGAAGTCTCATTCGCCTTTGTCTTGTACTTCTGTGTTCATTTTTTTTTTCTTTTTTTGGCTAGAGTTTCTGCTATCCCAATCAAAGAATATACAGTACACATCCCCAGAATCCATAAATGTGTTCCTGGCCCACTCTGTAATAGTTCAGTAGAATTACCATTAATTACATACAAATTTTACCCATCCACAATAGTCAAAAAAAAACTTGGCATTTCTATACTTTACAGGAAAAAAAAATTCTGTTGTTCCATTGTATGCAGGAGCATATTTTGCTGGTTTGAAAGATTATGATGCATACAGTTTTCTAGCAATTTTCTTTGTTTCTTTTTACAGCATTGTCTTTGCTGTACTCTTCCTGATGGCTGATAGATTTTAATTTATTTGTTTCCCTATTTGATAGTATTAGTGATTCTGATTTCAGTTTTTGATTTGTTTTGCTTTTGTTTTTTTCCTCATGTAACATTGGTGAAGGATCCAGGAATATGACAGAAAGGTGGAATAAACATTAATTTTGTGCAGTCTTTGGTAATTTTTTTGTTTCTTATAACTACAAAGCTTTGCTACAAATTTATGCATTTCACTCAAATCAGTGATCTATGTTTGTGTGATTTCCTAAACATAATTGTGGTTTATAAAAAATGTAACATCATAATTGCATTCCTAACTAGAATTAGTATGTCTGTTTTTGTATCTTTTTTTTATTTTTATTATACTTTAAGTTTTAGGGTACATGTGCACAATGTGCAGGTTAGCACCTTGTATTACTTAGGTTATTTTGCTTTGGTTAAAAATGGCTCAAGGAGTAAAGCAGTCCCATTCATATTAAGACACTATACAAAACTGTAAATAAAATGTGTACAGTGAATTGTCTTTTAGGCAACTAGATTTGTCCTTTTATTCCTCCATCTTTATAGAAGGGATTTGTACTTCTTATTGCAAGACAGTCTCTGTATTATGTCTTCTTTTGTGGTGTCTTCCATGTGAACATTTTTAAAATAAGGGAAATATGGTGGTAATAGAAAATTCGGAAAAACCAGTAGTAGCAAGCTTCAGAGTCTCAGGGTAGACCAAATTTCAGACAGGGTGCCCTTGAAACTTGAGAATTTCAGATAAAATATCCATGTCTGTGTACCCCGTGGAAAATCTTGGAACACACTTAAGGGTATGCTTTTCTGGGTTTGAGACTATTGCTTCACAGGATTTCTCAGATGAAACCAAACTGACCTAGTCACAGCTTCCTGGACAAACGATGTCTTTTATAAATAATTTTTTTTCTTACAAACATCAAGTGATTTTGAATTCCAATCCAACCATTCCTCATAGCCCGATTCAAATTTGTCCATATAGAAACATACAAGGTTGATTCATGCACAGTAATTTAGTGTAGAGGACCTGATTTCATTTTAAAATATTGTCACTAGTAATTGTTTACATGCTCAGTTCCCAGGCCTGACTTCTAAAGAAGAGTAACTTTAACTGATAGAAACAACTTCAACAAGCACCACCATAGTTCCACAGTCATAAAAAAACATAGAACAATATCATTCTGCAGCTGAAGTACTACCATCCTGTCCCTGGTTTTCTGTTATTTTTGGTGCATGCTACTGACAGGAGGATATGGGTGCTGAGTCAGTTACATTTACACAGATAGGAACACAATAAAGCCATAAAGCCCAGAAAATTCACAGCTAGATCTCTTCAAATCTTTTTGGATCACATAATCTCCATAACTATTGAAAGAATATGACTACTATTTTTAGACAATACAATTTCATTCTACGATCTAATTTACCCTTGTTTATATTGGTAAAAACTTGTGAAACAAGAATAAAACATCAGGAATAATGAGGTCAGCTCTTACATATGCAAAGCATTCTGTTTGTCTAAAGTGATGGAGAAGTATATTTTCAAAGATTTAATTTGTATTCTTTGAATATACGAATCATTCATTCACCCAGTAAAGTGAATGTTCACTGAAATGTGTATTTTTTTCTGTATGTAAATACACTGTAATAAAAAGTTTAAAAATGTCACTGGGCACTTAATATATAAGAGGCAGTGTTGTATGAAGTGATCAAAACATAAGATTGCTGCTCTATAGAATATACATATTTTGCACTTTGTTCTTTGGAATAAACAAAGTGTTTCATATTTTATAATGCAGATTCCATTACATATGTGACACTGGAAACAAAATATCTTGCCACAAACTTACTGAATGAGTTATTTTAGTAGCTATTAGTGGGGACAATGTTTTTTTGAAGCTGTTGATGAAACATATCAAAGGGTCATGAAATCATTTAGTTGGTTGCAACAATTCTTTATACGTATATGTATACATGCCTATAATTAAATTAGAATAGATGCACTTGGCTAGAATAGATTTGAAACGTTCAGAACGTGTAAAATGTGTTTCTTACTGTGGTTCAAATTCAAAAAAGATTGAAAAACACTAAACTAGTTTAAGTACTGCTAATATATTTTTTGTGGTCTGCTCCTAGAGTTTTGGGGAAAAAAAGTAATTTTTTAGTAAATCTTTCTCTTCATCGTGACTTAGAGGATTCTATATAGCAGTAGTCAGCCCACGTACATGCAAATATGTGATTTTCGGGTAGTGAAAGAATATACTAGTTGGAGAACAATTTCTTTTGGCTTCATTATAAGAAATAATACTGTTGGTGCTTGTAATCCTAGCTACTTGGAAAGCTGAGTCAGGAGGGCTGCTTGAGGCCAGGAACTTGAAGCTCCAGTGTGCGATAATCACACCTGTGAATAGCCACTGCACTCTAGCCTAGACAACATAGCTAGACTCTGTCTCCACAGAAAGAAGAAGAAGAGGAAGAGGAAGAGGAGGAGGAAGAGGAGGAGGAGGAGGAAGAGGAGCAGGAAGAGGAGGAGGAGGAGGAAGAGGAAGGGAAATAACACTGATACTTCTTTAAAATTCCTATCCACTGGAGAGTGGCATCAATATGATATGGCTCCATGTTTCTTTATGCAAACAAAAAAATTATAGAGTCAAAATACCAATTTAAAGAAAAACTACACAGCATGAATCTGAAGAAAACTATTAGAGTAAGTCAAGAATGTTTCCCAGAACAGGAATAATAATAGAATTCTATAGACATTCCCTTCACCTTCTTACTAAGAAGACTGCGGATTCCTTTCACTATTGTAGGAATTTCCCAGTGGTTAAGGACATAAGGATCAAAGCTTGACAGACCTGGACTTGCATTCCTGCTCAACAACGTTTTTTCATGATACTCAGATAAGTTACATAACTACTTCGAGCCAAGTTCTCTTTCGCAGCTGTGAGAGTATTCTAATGAGTATGCTAATGTCTACTTCCTATGGAATGCTGTTAGAACTGGTTGAGAATGTGACCCAGGCCCTTCAGCAATTAATACTTGAAAAGTACTTAATAATTGGTAGTAGGAACTATCCAAGATGTAGTAAAAGGTTTCTGTTACATAATTTTGTCTGCTACCCCAGGGCTGATTTTTTAAATTAATTAATTTATTTATTTTGAGACACAGACTCGCTCTCCCAGGCTGGATCACAGTTGCGCCATCTCGGCTCACTGCATCCTCCGCCTCCTGAGTTCAAGTGATTCTCATGCCTCAGCCTCCTCCCAAATAGCTAGGATTACAAGTGTAAGCCACCATGCCCAGCTAATTTTTGTATTTTTAGTAGTGACAAGGCTTTGCCATGTTGGCCAGACTGGTCTCAAACACCCGACCTAAAATGATCTGCCTGACCTCAAGTGGTCCACCTTCCTTGGCCTCCCAAAGTTCTGGGATTACAGGTGTGGGCCACCATGCCTGGCTGGTCTGATAACTCTTAACACTGGATGACACTGTTATATTAGATTATTTTAAGGAATTTAAAGATATGTAATATTGACTAGCATCTCAGCGTTACCCTTTTCTTAATATTTCCCTGTTACAGATTCTCTGAAATAGGTTGTTATTCACACAAATCTGGTACTTTATAGAATAGCAATCTGAGCTGATATGTGCTTCCTGTTTATTCTAGGTCTGCTATGTCATCAGCTCTCATCTTTCTTGGGGAAAGACAAAAGTATAGGGTTATATCATCTCTCTGTGTGTGTGTGTGTGTGTGTGTGTGTGTGTGTGTGTGTGTGTGTTGGTGGAGAGAAAGATGAAAAACCACAGGTAATTCTTAAAGCATTTGTTTATAAAGGCAATTAAATTTGAGGTGATGAAGGGATCTTCATTTTTTTGTAAGGCTTCAGTAGTGTCTGAGAGACCTCACCAGTGACATACAATGGTGTAATCTGTAGAAAAAAATACGCAGTAAGAAGAACTCCTTTTAAAGCTGCCCTAACATGCTTTTTTGTTTGTTTATTTTTAAGTCCAAAGAATGTCGCACCTCTGCAACCAAGTTTGCCCACACATATTATTTAGCAACTTCAAACTGTCTCCCAGTTTTAATGAGGGTCTTCTATCATAGTATTATTTTTTTTCCCCACTCTTAACGTAGTCCAAAGAGCTGAAACTATCTCATACTTTCTTCTAAGGTTGCAGTCCAGCATTCAACCAATATAAATCAAAATACAGATTTTTTTTCTGAATATGTAAAAAAGATATTTGTAGAGTGTGAATTGTCAGAAAACAATGAATCAGCATTGAAAATCTCGTTCCAGTCATAGTATTGACTTTTAGGTTGCATGATTTGAGGCAACTGAATTGCCATATACAAGACAATATCTTTCATGTCTAGCATTAGGGATTAAGTAAAGTAATAAGAATAAAAATGCTTTGTAAATTGCAAAGTTTAATGTTAAAAAGAATTTGAACTACAATCAGTAGGTAAGTGAATGGTTTCAGTGTTTTCATCAGTGGGTACATGGGTTGGTTCAAGGGCATATCTGAGCCACACAAATTTGCATAAAGATTTAATTTACTTATGTTTGTATTTACATATTTTCCTCAGCTTTTAGTGGACCCAGTTAAAGATGTCTGGCTCTAAAAATATTAAAAAGCATTTTATTATGCAAATGAATGCTACCGTTTCTATGTTCACCACTGGGTGTCTCTTAACCAGCAGGATGCATACAACCCCTAGAAGGAGGTTTAGATGAATTATTTGCAAATGTTTGCAAAATGGAACAGAAAAAGGCTAAGTTCATCAAAATTGCAAACATTCAAGTCCCATTATGTCTAATGCTGTCAGAAATAGTGTAAATATTTGCTACGGATTAATTAAAAGAGTCTGTTTACAGGCACACAATGCAGAATCTACTTTTATGCAGATGAGGTGTATAGAGGAAGAAGTGACTTGAGGTTTGAATTCTGGCTCACCTTGGAGTCCTGAAACTTTGGATGCATCACTTATATTTCCTAAGTCTCCAGTGAGTCATCTGCAAAATGGGAATAAAATGACCTACATTGTCCACCTGACAGGATTGTTGTGAAATCAAATTCAAATCCAACTGAAGCTTAGCAAATTACGTTATATAGAAATCATTAACAATAGCAAATATTTGTTTTTGATTGCCTTGCTATAGGTTACCGGCTGGGTAATAATTTGGTAACCAAAACAGACATGGCCCCTGGGTTATTTCTAGTTCAGCACTATAGTCAAATAGCAAACTAAAAAGTTAAAACTCTAAAGATTATGAAGCAAATGGAAGGTGTGTGTGATGCAAGGGGATAAGGATAAAAAACAGTCAAAGCAAAGTTAACCCACGCACAATTTAATAGTAACTCCCTTTTACAACTACTTTTGAATAAGAAGAAAATCAAAGTAAATATTAGAACTTACTTATAAATAAAAAAAGTCAGAGGATATTATTAGACACATGAGATGTGGCCTAAACACTTGATAATAACTTCAAGGCCTAAGATAGATTTACTTGAAACAGAAAATATTGAAAACAGAATACTCAAGCATTCAATTCAATAAATCAGAAAAATGACAATAAGTACATATAAAAAAGAAAAGCAGAAAAAGGAATTTAAAAATATAAAAATATTTAATTGATTCAAACTAAAACTGGTTCTAAGTAAAATAAAAAAAAATATAGTAGGAAAACAAATGACTGTTCAGAATATTTAAATAAAAAAGAAGGAAAAACACAAAAAGGCAACATTAGGTATTAAATGATATGTCTATGTAAAGGGAAAATTTTGTACGAATACAAAATGTAACAAAAGCGAGTTCTGTTGATTTAGAATATTAGAGAACAATTTTCATACAAAAATTAGAAAATTAGTCAAATATTTTGAGTCAGAAAAGTCTCCATGACTAGGCAATTTCATGGTGGAATTAAATCATACCTTTAAGAACAAGTAATCCTATGTTATTAAAATTGATGTAATGTATAGGACCAAACTTAAAGTCTCTCAATGAATAGATTTAATAAAATATTAAGGGAAAAGTGAGAAAAATAAAATGAAATATAGGGAGAAAAAACCTAGAACTGAGCATATGCAATAATTCATAGTAAAATATTAGTAAACTTAATTCAACAATTTATTAAGATTGCTACCTCATGAACAAGGAAAGTTCATCTCAATAATAAAAGAATACATCACCATTTGTATATCTTTTCAGGTCATTTACTCAATATATTAAATAAGAAAAATGATAAAATCATCTTGATATCTACAAATATGTGAAAAAACATAATAGGCCTGACTCAACTGTAATTTACATGATAACAATTATGCCTGACTAAAGCATAATCGAGTTAATAGAAGGAAGGATTTGTAGTCTCCATGTTACTTGACCTATCAGAGGCTGTTTTGCACTCTTTCAACCCGGAAACACTTTCACCTTTCTTCTCTCTTTCCAGGATATCATATTATTTTGGTTTTTTGACCTCTCACTGGCCTTTGTGTCTTAGACTGTGATTGGCTGTTTCACTTCTTCTCAAACTCTTCAATATTAGAGTGCCCAACGATTCATTCCACGGAAATCTTATAATTCCCATCTATTCTTACTTCCTTGGTATTCCTGTCCAATCTCATTTATTATAGACACACACACACACACACACACACACACACACACACACACACGCCCTGCACTTCCAACATGAAATCTAGACTCATATGTCCACCAGCATGCTCATCTAACAGACAAAATTAATAGTTCCACAACTGTGCTCCTAACCTACCCCCACCCCTACATTCCCAATTCTTCTTTGCAGTGATTAGTGGCAATTGCTCAGACCAAAAAATCTTGACATCATGTTACATTTACTCTTCCTCTTAACATCCCATATGCAAATTTGCCATCAAATCCTTTGATTCTACTTTTGAATCATACTCTCCTTGACAATAATGCCTATCACATAGTAAGGATTAAATGAGCTAACACATGTAAAACATTTAGCGCAATGTTTGGCTGGGAATAAAAATAATTAAAAATAATATTCCTTGAGTTGGCCACTGTGGTAAGGTTATATTGCTTTTATCTCATCTAACAACTATAACAGTGTAGTCATTAAAATATTAGGTGCTACTATGAACTTCATCTTGCAGATGATAAAACTAAGGCAAAGAGGGGTTAACTAAAGTTACAAGTGCCAAGATTTGAAACCAGTTATTGGACTCCAGAGCTGTAGTGTATGCTGAATGTTAGCTATTATTAAAAATCATTATCTGTCAGATGAGCCACAGAAATAATAAAATTTCAAGAAAATTGCCAGATTATATACACAACACCCAAACACCCCAAATAATAGCTTTTCCACACAAGCACAGGGGTCTATGACAAAACGGAATTGAAAATCTATAAACTTAGACAATAAAAACATTAAATGACTAACAGGAAATATGCAATGCTTATAAGGAGAAGATTGTTAAGAAATGTTTCTGAACAACACGAAAGAGGTTTAGAAAGAAATGAGAGAAGAGCCAGGCTCCTAGATAAGGGGACTCAATACTGTCAGGTTAGTGCAAAAGTAACTGTGATTTTTGCCATAAAAGTCATGGCAAAAACTGCAATTGCTTTTGCACCAACCTAACACAAAGATGTCATTCTCCAAAAATTAAATGTAACCATAATTAGCTTCCCAACAGAAATTTTTATGAAACTTCACAACGGATTATTAAGTTTATTTTGAAGACAAAATGCACGATAGGCAAAAGCCTTTCAAAAATAGCAAAAACAAAGGAATCACTCTACCAATTAGAAAAAAAAAAAAACTTCTTACAGCTAGACTTTGGGTTTCTTGCAAGTATATCAGTAGAACAGCATAGAGTTACTGGAAATAAATCTATGTATGCTTGAGAATGCAGTGTATAAGAAAGGTTGTATTTCAATTCGGTAATAAAAATATGACTATTCCAATTATGGTATTGGGGACTATTGGTTTTTCAAAAGAAAGAAAGAAAGAAAGAAACAAGGAAGAGGAAAGGCGGGAAAGGGGGGAAGAGAAAAGGAGAGGAACAGGAGGAAGAGGGAGAAGGGCAAGAAAAGGAAGAGATAGAGGAAGAAAGGATCCTACCTAATACTATACATCAAACTCCAGAAAAGTTTTTACAAATCTCCCTCACGCTTTAACAATTACTTCTTTAAATTTTTTTGAACAACCAACAATTTCATAATACAAGTTTATGATATAAAACATAAAAAGCAGAAGTCAAAAAAAAGATTATTTCATAGCACCACAGACCATGAATCCCTACCCAAACCTAACCCATATCTCCAGAAACATATTAATGAAAGTCAAGCCCAGATAAACTAATGTGGATAGAGAAAAAGCAGACAGTACATAGAGAGTGCTAGAAAAAGCTCATAAGTATTGAGCACTGTGTACACCATTGGAAGTATTCTACAGGAGAGAAAGTGCAGCTAAGAACCACGGAATTAAAATCCAGGTCTGGTTGGCACAAATCATTTAGAAACACCTCAAAACCTCAGAAGAGACAGAACAGTCACAGTCTGCCTTTCCCTTTCCAACCACAATCTCTCTAGCAAAACAAACAGAAGAGCTAGACAGTAACTCATCAGGAATAATCAAACTAAGTAAGTGCTTCAATCATTAAAACTTCAGCATTATATAATTTTAATAAAACCAAACTCATAGACAGTAAAAAATCGTTATAAGATAAAAGAAGATTGTAGACCAAAGGAAAATTCTGAGATTCACTATTATACAAAAAAAAATATGAATTAGAGAGCGTAAGGGCAAAACTTATTTGAAAAAAAATAAATGAATGGAATCGTAGAAAAACTCTAGATGACAGTCACTTGTATTTAGAGGAATCATATAAAGAGTTAAAAATTATTCATGAAATTATGATAGCTGTGGGGAACAAAGATGACCTAACATAAGAATTATTGCTTTCTCTGAAGTAGAAGAAACCAACGAATAAAACTGAAAAGCTATTAAGTGGCAAAATAGGTAAAATTTCTCTGAAATGAAAAAAGTGAAATGGCAAAAATATAGCAGGCATCCAAGCAGAACATTCATGTCATCAAAAGGAGAAAAATACCAAGGTGCCCTTGGATTTCTTCCGGCAATATTCAGTGCTTGGACTTAATAGTGAAGTGTGTTCACAAATCTGAGGCAAGGAAGGCATGAACCATTAATAACACTCCCAGAAAAGCATAAAGGCAACAGTCAGACACCCGAAGCATGAATGATTTCAAGGATTAAAAAACCAACTAGCACTGTTACAGTTCTTTCAGAATCTGTCTAGCAAATTTTCTGGCTTTTCCAGGAAAATCCCCCATGCAGGTAAATAAAACAAATCAAAACTAGCAAACAAAACTAATTAAGAATACTAGGAGGGAAGGAATGATTGGACTAATGAACTGAGAAATGGAAAATCCATAATATAAAGAAGACCACAGACGATGAGTAACTGTAGCCATTTATATGTAGAATCAAGACCAAAGACCCGAGGCAGTTAAATTTGCAGAACTGAATGTAAATATTATGAATTCTGACAAAGTTAAAGTAATATAATTATCAACAAACTGGAAATGAAGAGAAGTGAGGACAAACTGGAGAGCAGCTAATCATCTCCAATCACACTGCAGGGAGTTAAGAAAAGCTGTCTGAAATTAAAACATGGAGCTAATGCATTCAGCTTCTTAATGGTATTTATAATCTTTTATTCTTAACCATAAAGACAAGTTTTATTTTAAAAAGTTCTTGTGGTGAAGAAATATTTAAGTTCAGCCATTTCCTAATTTATTTTTATTTTTTCGATTAAATTACATATATTAATTACAGTTCACATATGTATATATTTTATCCTTTTATTTGTGCAAATATATAATTATATACCGGTGATATGTTCATGAAATGTTAACAGTATTTTTTTTTCTGAGTGTAAAGACTTTGGAGTGGTTTGTGTTTCTTTAAAACTTGACTAAAGTGATTACTGATTAATGTAAAAGCATAAACTTTATCTGCATTAAAAATGTAAATATAATATGATAATGATAACCATGATAATACAATGATTATGAAAGCCTTCAGATATCTATGTATATGAATTAGCTAGTATGAAAGAAAGAAACCTAAATAGACCAGATTTGCCGTGTTACCTGAATGAAAGAGGTAAGGAGATTAGCATGTCATGTAATCAGGAAAGACATTTGCTGTGCTCGCCTGGCCCCATGGCTTTGTGACTGAATTCTTTTATTATTATAATTATTATTACTATTATTATTATATTATTATACTTTAAGTTCTAGGGTACAGGTGCACAATGTGCAAGTTTGTTACGTATGTATACAGCTTTTTGTCTGAATTCTATAAAGAATAATTGAACACACAAGGTGCAGAACTGGTGGAACCAAGAACTGGGTTAACATCACAGTGAAAGGGACATGATGGGAAAAGCAGAGCCTTATTCACACCTCTGCTAACACGGGCATCCTGAGAACTCAAGACTGATGTGCTTAACTGTGGAGTTACTGGAATTTGAATTATCTGGTAGTAGTTCCTCTGTCACCACTTCCAGTCTGTCATGTAGGAAGCTGGGATCAGTGGCAGTGGTGAGATACCACCTCACCTAAGAGTCCTTGAACAGGAAACAAACAAACCAAGAGGGCTGTTTAGTTCGTCTCAGATAAGAGGTTCTGAAGAACTACACGATGCAAATTTTGCTGGTTAGAAGTAGTTAAATGTATGTAATTTGACAACATGACTACCTTGGACTCGTGTAACCTTGGGAAACATACTCCAATTAAGTGTTTTAAAAAGTCTGAAGATTAGGTGTCCTAAATTCCCGATATTTGAAATGTTTTGGCCTAAAGTTGGACCAAGTGCCTTGAAAAGAGATGCAGAATGTTATCATCATTACCATTTATATAAACTAGCCCAGATTACACATCTTTTGTATTGTTCTTGTCTGAATAGTATTATATATTTAACTTCACAAATGTTCTATGAGTAATCTTCCCTGAGAATAATGTTAATTTTGAAAAATACATTGAATTCTAAGATATTTCCTGGATACACTATGATATGTTTTTCTGTTTACTTTTTTTGCTGGACTACTTGGGTTAACTTTTGAAAAGCCTGAAGAAGGGTGTGAATTGCTGAGGCTAATCATAGAACCTTAAAAGTCTGTAGATATTTAGCGATGGAGAGAGGGTGAGAGGAGCTTGTAAAGTTGGCCCAGCCCATAGTTGATTAGGTTAGGTGGCTAGATGTGTATTTATGGGTGACTGCATCTTCTGTTCAATAGACATCTCTTTATTATCTTTCCATGTGTAGGACTAAAGGCCTGTACAACCACAAAGTAATTTTAAATAAGAAAATTCTGTATGTCAGAGTGAAATACTGGCTAAATTTAAAGAGAGCAACAGCATGGCATTAATAGAGGTTAAACATACACAACCACACACAGAAATCAAAATTATTCTACCCAGCATTTTTTTTCTCTCAGCTTCACTGAATCTTCCAAAGTGCCTTTTAGATTTTCTAATAGATTTCCTTACCTTAGAACTACACGAACTTTGGAATTTTATCATAAAATTGTTGACTATATGAAAATCCGTGAAAAGATTGAAATGTTTAACAGAATTTTTAAAATTAAAAACATCATTTCTGCTTTCATTATTGAAATGTTTGTGTTCTTCCTTAACCTAAGAGTTAAGCACTTTGATAACTTTCTACCAAACTCACTTAATAATGAACAAACTAAGGCTAAGAGAAATTGTGGCTGGCTTTATAGAAGTAAATAGTAAATGACATTCATGGACAAGTGAATCATAATGTGAGAGGTGCTTATAAAATACATTTTTCTCTTTATTTTAAATATTTATCCAACTTTTAGGTTCATAAAATAGTTCAGCCACTGTGGAAGGCAGTCTGGAGATTTCGTTCATGTTTATTTTTGAAGTGTATGTGCAGAGAATTTTCCAAGAAGTGTATGAGTCCACTCCTATTTCTGTTCTTGCACCAGATTTCCTGTCTGGCTACCAATGTGCCTGCCCATGCTTCCTAGTTATAGGGAGACAAACAATAATGAAGGAAGACACAGGAAGGACCAGCATCAGGGCTGGGATATGAAGCGGAGCATATATTCTTCAGTCAATACAGTAGGTTTTGGAAATGCTTGTGAACATGGAGTTAGCTTTCTCGGGGATGGAAACTAGGAAGCGCAAGTGGCTCCACCTCACACGTTAATGCTATAATGTTAGTGGACTCCATCCTCTATGGTCCATAGGTGGAATCCACACATACTCCTGTTTCTCAAGAGAATCCTAATTTGACACCTGTTGTTATGCTCTCAGAAATGTCCTGGCTGAGAAGATAAATTCTACAACCTGCCTGCTGGTAGAGGGTTTCACAATCATTAAAATTTTGTTCCCACGTAGCGACTACAAATGAACCTAAGTGACTTTAGAGATAAATCATTTCTGCTGTCCCTGGACTTATCAGTAAGGAGGCATTTTCAGAGAAGTTTTGGCCTATGCTTAGTTTCACTTGCTTCCTATGTTTAGCAGTTTCTTGATTTCCATGTATAAGTTTTCATTCCTTCAAATACTGCATTATTTAATAGTGCCAAACACAAGGACTCAGTAAATAACTGTCAAAGATGGTGACTATCAATGAAAGTAAGACACTAACATGTGTAACCAGGCTTTTTGTTTCCGCTTTTCACAAAAACAAAATAAAGCAAAAGAACTAAACTTTTCATTTTAAATTTAATTCTTTTTAAAAGTTTAATTATGTAAGGTCAGGTATTCATACATCTGTCTACTGTGTTACTTGTCTGAACGATACCCAGAAACTAAAGGAGTACCAAAATAAAATTTCTAGTACCAGAGTAGAGTCAATACAGTATATTAGAAGCTGTATCAGTTTGCATATTTTAAAAAAGAAATTTAAAGTTAATATCCTAATTAAATGTTTTATGAGAAGCAATCCTTTGTTCTGTTTTCATTTTCATACTTAAGGAAAAATAACTTTAATACAAATTATTTAAATTATGGCTCACTATGCAACCCATTTGCTAATCTTCTACATTGATTAAAATATTAAAACATTATTTTAGCCTAAAATAGACTTTCACATTTATGAAAAAAGTATAACCTTTTTTCCCACTTTTATATAACACAATTTCCATTACTTCTCTCTTAATAAACTTATTTCCACAAATACACATGGAAGAAAAATATCTCAGGGGGAATGTAATAGATATGAAAAATTCTAGTAAGTTTTTGATATATCCAAGAATATTTACTGCCTTCTGAGAGGTAATGTACATAAGCCAAAATGAACAAAATCTAAGCTACAATCTTAATTTTTAGCATGCTTCTAAGAGATAAAACACAGGTAGCACATGTGAACACACTCATATTTGAAGGATAAATATTCTCGCTTGTTTTACATCACGTACATCCAGAAATTAATTTCTACATTAAAATTCTTTGTCATTTCTTTTAGAAAATGCATGTCTATTAATGCTGATCAGATACATAGTATGTTGACTTAAAATCATTAATTCAAATCAGTGCCTTTTTGAAAAAATTATTCAAGACATATCAAATGCCCCCTTGGGATTTACTGTAACTTTATATTTTAATTTCCAGTGAAAATAGAGAGGCACATTTTATAGAGTAGAAAAGCTACACTGCAGGTTAGTTCAAAATGGTTCTCTAAGATTTGTCGGGTTGAAACTAACCTCCACTGATTTTCAATGATGTTATCATTTTGATTTCTAAACATAGGTGTTTAGCTTAAGGAAACTAAACACATGCTGAAGAGATAAGGGGATTCTACCCTGCTATTTCAAGCTAAAACATAACCTCTAAATTATCTTTTAGAGTAAGCCAAAGCCAGTATCACATACCTTTCGAGAATGAATTTCTTTCACATACAATGGAAGTAGAAACTCAGATATACCTTCAAGTCGGATTCCCTTCTTGGTGACTCTCAGATTTCCCATACCATCCTACAAGCAATGAAATATAGTTCACTTTTAGGTTAATTGGAGAATGAATATCTGGCCATAATTTTCTTAGGCCTAAATTGAGAAAACAGTGAGCTCAAATCAGTGATGATTTAAGGAAAATGAGAGATTGAATCTACTTAATTAATGTTTGCAGCCCTTTGCATGCATATAGAGGGCTCTATTTAAAATGAACAGGAAAAGAGGATTTAAAGGACTGTGTCTTCTTCGAGCTCTACCAGGGACTAGGATTTGCCCACGAATAAATCCTTTACTTTCTTCATGCATCAGTCAGTTCAACTATTTATTTTGTATAATGATGCTTGCTACCTGACTGTTGGAAATAACTTTGTTTGCAGAGAAATCTAGTAATATTTTTACATTACAGTTATACAAATAACTCTAAAATATTCAGAGTCACATTGATACAATAATTTTAACAAGTAATTAATGATTGTCTGATATTAGTAACCATGATGTTCCAGTGTTCAAACCATGAGTAGGTGTCTGTCAGATCCTTTAGAAAAGAGCAGTTTTTGAGAAGGATAAAACAGGTACACAAATAATGCTCATGAGACAGAATAAAATTACTAAACAGAGTGCTACTGGGAATTAAAGAAAGGAGGTTTTATATCTGATAAGATAGTAAACCATTTCTCATGGAAGAGATTGACTACGATAAAGTTGTTAAGAATGTGGAATTTCAACAGGGAAGGTCCCTGGAGGGTGGAACAAAATAAACATTCTGGCAACATTTAGATAACAGCATCTGATCTCACTAATGTATGAGATTTCTATTTTTGAATATTGGGAGAGAAAGCAATGGAGAGTACATTTTGGAGCCGGAGAAAGGAAAGCCATACATATAATTTAAGGAGAATGTACTTAAGTCAGATTCCAAAAGAAGACACTATAAAGGTTCTTACATAGTTCAATAGCTTGAAATGATTGGAGGCAGGCTTCAAGAAGATTAATCTGGCAGAAGTACTGTTTAGGGCTAACTGATACAGTATTACTAATAATGCATAATTGCGTAGTAGTTTGAGGAATATGGTGGAAGAAAAATTTACAGACTTGTTGACTAATTTTATGTATAGACACAGAAAGGAAGAACTTTCAAGATTCATCCAAGGTTTCACAACTAAGCATGAATAAGAAAATATAGTGACTTTAAAAACTGAAATAGTAAAATTTGTAGGCTCAATCCCAAAGCAAATTTAGCTTTTCACTTTCTAACATTATATCTCCATTGTAAAATTGGTTATATATATATAAAATCATATATAATAGATTATATATAATCATAATCATATATAATAGATATATAATCAAAATCATATATAATAGATTATATATAATCATAATCATATATAATAGATCATATATAATCACATATAGTTGATTATATATAATATATAGTTGATCATGTATATAATCACATATAATCAATGATATATAATCATATTTTAATTATAGGACAATACATAATCATATATAATTATATATACATATCTGTATACACACACACACACACACACACACACACATATATATATATATATATATATATATATATATATATATATATATATCAACCAGCACATCCACAGAAAGGGATGAGGACGTGGGCCCGGCGCGGTGGCTCATGCCTGTAAAATCCCAGTACTTCGGAACGTAGAGGCGGGCGGATCACGACGTCAGGAGATCAAGACCATTCTGGCTAACACGGTGAAACCCTGTCTCTACTAAAAATACAAAAAATTAGCCGGGCTTGGTGGCGGGCGCCTGTAGTCCCAGGTACTCGGAAGGCTGAGGCAGGAGAATGGCACGAACCCGGGAGGCGGAGCCACAAATGAGCCGAGATCGCTCCACTGAACTCCAGCCTGGGCGAAAGAGTGAGACTCCGTCTCAAAAAAAAAAAAAAAAAAAGATGAGGACGTGTCAAGAAATACTTGAATCTGTCACTATGGATAAGCAAGCCCAACGTAGACAGATGTTTATAAAACCAAGGATAAATTCTTGGATGATGTCAATGGGTTGGGAAAATATCTTTTATGTGTTCAGGGATGTTGTGATCAGTATCAGACGAAAGTTGAGGGAATATAATGGCCTAACCCCTCCAAAAGAGAAAGCCATTGAGGTAGAATTATATAACATTATGATATCAGCAACAGAAAATACGTTATAGAAAAATTTTGAAGAGAGAAAAAAACGAATAGGATTTAACTAAGAATTGAAGGACTCTTTAAATTTTTTAAAAAGCCAGACTAAAGGATAATGACCACAGAGTAAGAGGGACATTTGGAGGTGACGAGGTCTGGATTGCCCCATAGAAGGAGAAAGTAAGAGATTTGGGTTAAATTAAAATTAGGATGAGAGTGAAGAAATTTGTTCCTTGAGGCAAGTGAAAATGTCAAAACTGATGCTGGAAATGCCTTACAGGAAACCAACCCAAAATGAATGAACGATTTCAAGTGGAATTAAAGAGTTATTCAGATGAGAAAATACATACATTTCTGTTAGGATGATAATACATCCTGGTTTCTCTGAGAAAGGGCTGATTTACACCAGTTTTATAGTATCCTCTTACATTTTCAAAAATAAAAAGTGGCTCAGATTTAGACATTCAATTACATTACCACCCACTTACTGGCTCTAATAAGTGTGGTTTTGCAGCACTGTAGTTATTTAAGAACAGAAACAGAATTGACAGTGAGAGAAACTCAAAAGTGAGGATTTGCTAGACAGGAATGACAGAAAGTCATAAAGATGTGGTATTCTTAAAGTGGCAAAAAAAAATAGATGTTTTCAAATGACTAACCATTATTTTTCTCATTGAAGCATGACAAGGAAAGTCAGAAGTGGGGTTGGGTTACCAAAATAGTGCATAGTCAAAGAATGGCAAATGGTGATAAACTAATGATGAAGGTCAATGGATGTTAAGAAATATGGCAATTATAATATGAAGACAGGTTTATCACCAGAAAGAGTAATTTTGGATTTGGAGATCTTGAAGTTCAGAGCATTTTCAGGCATGATAAGACTTACAGAACACCCCAGGGGTGGAGGTAGATTTAAGAAGACAGAGAATTATCTGGTATTCAGGAAACCAAGAGTATTAATTAGAACCTATAACATGACATGGGGCTTTAAAACACTATTTTGTATAAATGGAATTTTCTGGACTAAATTTCACACAGTGACTGTCCATATATATTCTTAAATGCCTGCTGGGAGAAAATGTTCTGAAGTGCGCTCCTTGGAGTTGTTACAGAAATACCTAATTTCACTGGGAGACTATTTCAGAGCAATGGAAACTAGTTCTAACACAATTGTAATTCCCATTTCAATATTAATACTAAAAAATGTTCTGATGAGATGGCTGGAAATAAGAGGACTGGGCATCCACAGTTAAGTGTGTTATTACTTATGCTATGTGCATCTTTGATTTTGGAGTTTTCAGTCTTGAGCTTCGTGTGTTTTCTTCTTATATTTTCTACTTAATATATGATTTCAGATATACCATCACATTTCATTTAAATTAGATAAAACAGAATTCCCCTCTGTAAATGTAGGACTGTTTTTGCTTGTTTGTTTTGAGATGGAGTCTCGCTCTTTCGCCAGGCTGGAGTGCAGCGGCGCAATCTTGGCTCACTGCAACCTCCACCTCCCAGGTTCAAGTGATTCTCCTGCCTCAGCCTCCTGAGTAGCAGGGACTACAGGTGTGCACTGCCACGCCCAGATAACTTTTGTACTTTTAGTAGAGACAGGGTTTCACCATGCTGGACAAGGACTGCTCTTATAACACCGTGTTGTAAATCTAATCGCACTTCACTGTGTCTATTTCTCCCTTTCTTTTTCCTGTCTTGTATGAAAAAACGAATTTTCAAGGTTTTCCATATTACCTAGATGAAATGATAAAATGTATAAAGCTGTATAACATATATTCCATATATAATCAACCTGACTCTCACACTCAGGCATTAAGTCCAGTAACTATTTATGAGTTGATGAAATTTGCTTTTCCTTCTGCAAGAGCATTATAAATTAAATTTATTTTTAGTGTCTGATGATTTTCCTGATCCCTTCATTATCTGAAAGGGAGAAAATGATTTGTTAATTTTCTGTTCAGGAAGACATTGTTACCAGAAGGTAACAGACTCTAATGTACTACACCTAGACCTTGTCTTGGTTCTGCCACTTCTTCCCTTTGTTAAGTGCCAATCACTTAACTAATCACTTTGTGTCTTAATTTTATCATCTGTAAATGGAATGGTAACATAAGTTATGTGTCTATGATAAAGATTACATGAGGATGTAGAAAGCTTAAAATAGTGCCTAATTTATGTCAAACTACTCAATAGTTTTAACTATTATTAACATTTTACTTAAATTTTTAGTTTTTGTCTTATAAAAACTCATGTTATTTTAAGAGAAACTATCTTTGAACTTCAGTATAATCTACACCAAATTTCATATCATTATAGTTATGATACTCTTGTTCATCATTGCTATGGTTCAAATGTGTCCCCTCTAAAATTTAGGTGTTGAAACTTAAGGGCCAATGTGATAGTATTAAGAGGTGGAGGCTTTAAGACATTATTAGGCCAGGAGGGCTCCTCCCTTGTGAATGGAACTAAGGCCCTTATAAAAGAGGTAAATGAAGCTTCACGCAGTGTTTCGACCTCTTGCTCTTCTGCCTTCCCCCAGGTAGGATACAGAGCATTCCTTCCCTCTGGAGGACACAGCAACACTGTGCCAACTTGGAAGCAAACAGCAGCCTTCATCAGACAACACAACCTGCTAGTGCCTTGATCTTGGACTTCCCAGCCTTCAAAACTGTAAGAAAATATTTTCTGCGTTTTTTTTTCTTCTAAATTACCTAGTCTCCAGTATTTTGTTATAGTAGCAAAAACTGACTAGGGCACATGTGATTTACCTATTGTTCACAGACAGTATAGTGTCATTTTAGAAGGGGATATGAAATCAGACATTTAGGGTTTGAAACTTGACTTTTTTATTTATTAACTGTTGACTTTGACATGTTGTCTATCTAAACCCAAATGTGTATTTTATAAACATCAGACAAATAACAGTATTCCTCACAGGGATGTTGTATTAATTTAATGAGACACTATGTAAGTGAATTACTATTGGACCTGGTATATTTTTAATAGTTATTCCCTTTACTTGTGGGTTATTGAAAATTAATATTTTAAAAAGTAGATTGTCTAATCAACACATTTAAAAAATATCAACTTCTCTTATTTTTATTTCTTCTTTTTCATTTCCAATGACACTATGACAGTTCAAGATCACTTTATCTCCAGCTTGGAGATTGCCACCTAACCACTGTTTATATTGTTATTTTATTATTTTAGTATTATGCTTGCTCAAAAGCCCAAAGTGTCACCTTAGCCTCTGGGTATAGATCTGTGTCCTCCATTTTGAATATTTACTATGCTTTCTAAATAATCCACTGTGATCATCATATTCTTGTTTAGGGGAAATATTATAAAACAGACTCTTCCAGTGTGCCCCAACCCCCTCCTTTAGAATGAATTTCTAGATTTGCTAAGTGTCTCCTCCAATCCTGTTTGTTTTTAGCTGTTTGTTGGTGTTGGTATTTGTTTTTTGTTTTGGTTTGTTTGTATTTGCTTTTTTTTCATCATCACTCAACTTATACTTCCACTAAACTGTACTGCCAGCAGTTTTTTGTTTGTTTTTCAGAACAGCTCCACGTTTTGCCATCAAAATTTCTTGATCCATGCATTCTAGCTGCTTGAGATAATCTTCACTGCCATTTCCTTTTAATGCTCTTACCGTATTCCAAAGAATTACCTGTCCAAAGAAGGCCATGATTAATATCCTAGTCAGAAATAACATTGTTTTCTACTTTATATTTAGAAAATGCTCTATTAGTATTTCTTATAAAATGTATCATATTCTGATTCTAATTTTAGTTAACTGTGTATACATTTTTACCTCTTCTTTAAAAGTTTATGATCAATCTTATTTATCTTCATGTTCATTTCTTCATCTTACATAATCCTTCCAACAGTGGATATGAAGTATGTGGTTAGTAAAATGCTTGATTGTTGAATTGAATAGAATTTACCTCTTTACTTAAATAACAAAAACTCCAAAACTAAATTAATATGCTTGTGAAGATCACAATTACTAAAATTTATAGAATTTGTCTTTAAAAACTGAAAGTAATCTTTAGCATAATTTTCTTTTTTTTGACAAAGTAGAGGATTATTTGTTAAGAAATACTTATTGGAATTTCTTATAAGAGACCGAATGAAAAAATAATATTCTCTTTGTTGACATTCAAACCTACGATTTAAGAATATTTAAATTTAAATTTAAAGTGACTGTTTAAATTTTAAATTTAAATTTAAAATGACTGTTTAAATTTAAATTTAAAATGACATTTGAAATTTAAAATCCACAGCCAGAACTTTGCAATGATCTCATGGTAATTCACTCCCTCCTCTTGAGTTACCTGAAATTAGAGGTTAAATAAATGTTTTCTACTCCAAAGATTTAAGATACTGCTTACCAGAGAAATGTAATGGCCATAGTGCTGAGCATTTTGGCATGAAATTAAGAAAATATTTTAAAATAGATGTATCGATTAAAAATAGAGAAAATCTGATGAATGATTTATCACTAAAAAAGCTTTTCAAACAAAATTGAAGGACTCCAAGAGCTGCAAGAGAAGCAAATATACATTTTAGACATCTTTTCTGGATAAAACCAAAAATCCCCTTTCAAATTACCAGTATTACACATTTCAAAACAAATTCAATAGGAAGGAAGGTAGATACATGTGTTTTTATTATTTTGAATATCTAAAGATATTATTTATTATATATTTAAATTTGTATGAGGAAAAAATCTTAAAGACACAGTTTCGAGACAACTTGGAGTTTGGTATGACAAATATTTGTAAGACATTAAGAATTAAATATTTTCAATAAAATAAAAGGAATACATAAAGAATGGAAATATTAAATTGTTTCAATGAAATTAAAAACCATATTTAAACTTCATTTTGCTATTAATTTTTAAATCTATGTTACATCAGTAAGAAAAAATTAACTTCAACTTCTAATTAAAGAGGAGGAGGTTCTCTTTAATATACCTAAGCAAAGCATGTGGTTTATGCTGTGTTTTTTAATACTTTATACTGAGCTGTTTTTCCCCAAGCATAAAAGAAAAAACAAACAAAACATAAGTTGATGGCCTGCTTTATATGTGTGTTTTACAATGTTGTTTGCTGTAAGCTTGTATTTTATTTTCATTTTAATTGGCCTCCCTGTATTCCTGCATATTATCAGGAAATAAACTCTATAGTGGTAACAATTGACAGACCTAGGAATTTGACCTCTAATTCAACTTGTACGGAAACATTTTTATAGATTGCTGTTAATAATATAACTTTTACCATCCTGAATATGATTTATCACCTTTGTTCTTTGCCAATAGTTGTTCAAATTTCATAATTTATGTACCTTCAGTTGTCAGGGTTATAAAAGAAAGTTTTTAATATACTTTTGTATTAAATATAATATTAAATATTGTATTTTGTTTCTCTTAAGTGCACTGGTGTTCCTTTAGATATGCAAATGCTTTTTTAAAAGCATGATAAAAAAATTTTCATTTGTTTTCCAAAATTTTCTCTACTGATAATACAGGAAATATGTATCAGGGAAATATGTATTCATACTTATGAAAAGACACACATATATAATACATTTATACAATACATGTAATATATTTATGAATAAATATAAATACATATTTCCCTTATACATATCCTTATTCTAAGTATTACCCAAATACATATTTTTATTTTAACTATCCACATATCACTAGCCTCAAAGAACATATATAATTGCTCCACAAAAAAATGCAGGATGAAAAATTAAAAATAAAAATATGATGACCGTGCACAGTGGCTCACGCCTGTAATCCCAGTACTTTGGGAGGCCGAAGCGGGCGGATCACGAGTTCAGGAGATCGAGACCATCCTGGCTAACACGGTGAAACCCCGTCTCTACTAAAAATAAAATACAAAAAAATTAGTCGGGCGTGGTGGTGGGTGCCTGTAGTCCCAGCTACTCAGGAGGTTGGGGCAGGAGAATGGTGTGAACCCGGGAGGCGGAGCTTGCGGTGAGCCGAGATCGCGCCACTGCACTCCAGCCTGGGCGACAGAGAGAGACTCTGTCTCAAAAAAATAAAATAAAATAAAATAAAAAATAAAAATATGTTAATTTGACAAAATGGATAGGATCATAGTGGCCTATGATGGAGTAAAAACGGACGCACTTAATAAATCCAGTGAGGCTGGTCTGAAGGTAGTGAGTTATCTCAATTGATTGTTCACAGTCAGCTACAGATCAAAATCCTTCTACTCTTTTCCCCTTCTCACTACGGTACTTGAATAGCCTTACATAAATAAATGAATAAATCCAATGAGACTACAAATAAGGAACCACCCAGAGTATTCAGTAACTTGATATATAAATGGTAAAATCATAACATTTAATTATATTTAAATTATAAAATTTGGTTTGCAATAGAGTATAGAGTATGTAGATATATAGAATATACTTATATGCATATATATAGTGTGTGTATATATATAATGTTCTCCTATATAGGTTTGTATATATTATATGTGTGTCTATATATCTATACACACATATATATACATATATATACATATATGTGTATATATATAAAATGTTCACATACGAAATGGAGAACGGACCATAGCTATTCAATCCAGTAGGAACACTTGGAACACATACATATTTTAAATTCAATATTTTTGAGAAAAAAATATATTTTTCTACAGGCAATTGGAATCACTGTCAGCAAAAATCAACTGGTATAGCTCAGTCTAATATTAGTTACATGATGCAGATTTCAATGTGCATAGAAACAACATCCACTTTAACTGGAAGTTAAGGTTACCTGCTGGGAACCAAATCAGTGGTTGTGGGAGAGACTTGCTGTAAAAGAATACTATATCGAAAAGCCAAGGGTGCTATCATAAACAAATCATATTTCTTGATGGTAAATGGAGACAACTGCAAAGAGCCTCAGGCATTTAACTTAAGGAAAATAATAAGTAATGGATTAATAATAATGTTTTGTACCCTAAAAATTGCCATCTGTAAGTAGGGGGCTGAGGGACTTCCATATGTTAATCTTTTAACAAGGCAATAAAGACTAAAGGTTCACTATTAGCATGCTTGTCTTTCCCAACTGTGCTTAATAGAATACCAGAATTAATGACCTGGTGAAAAAAAAAAGTTACTTTTTCAAATAAATTTAGAAAACCATTGCATGATATACTCCTACTCAGATATTCATAGTACACATTAGCATATTAACATTCAGATGAGTTTGCAGTAGAGAAACACACTGTGTCTAATACAGAGGTCTCCTAACATTTTGGTCAATGGGTCCTCCCCTCACATAACCCACCTTTTAGAGTAGGTGAAATAATACCCCTTTAAATACACCAGGGAAATACTTTAAATACACCAGGGAAATACAGGGATGAATTATTCATATTTTACCAACTCTGAAGAAAGACCATTTAAAATGGAGTTATATTTTTTAGCATGGAGTCTCAAAAATAGGTGATTAAGGAGTTATAAGCTCCTGTCTCCACAGATGTTTAGGAAGTCTATGTAAAGATTCAGTTGCGTCCTAATGTGACTTCCTAGCTAGTTTTAAATACTGAACATGGCTAGAAATGTGATCTGCTTTACGGGTGTCACTTCCTATTTTCAGTAAAAAATGAGCCAGGGAGGTAATCCTGAATACACCTCTGTTTTTGCAAATATTTGTCTGTTACTATAATTTATTTCCTAAAAGGAGAATCACCTCTTGACTTGAACAAAATCACATTTCTAGACCCTTAAGTTAAGGATAAGACTATGGGGTAGGGTACCCTACCAAAGCACTCCTTAGGGTAAAGCCTTTTATAGGAATTTCTTCTAGACTCATAAGACAACATCTTTAATTTCCACCCTAACTATGGCACTAAATATATTAATAATAGCTCAGTTCATACAGCACTTCAGCAGATATTGAGCCTATGACACATCACAACAATCCTGTAAAACTGACATATTTTTTTCCTCATTTTATGTAACACAGAAAATAAATTAGGTTGTTAGTTTTGTGCACCTAGTTAGCTACTCATCCAGAACACAAGTCCAGTCCTCTCACTCTTAGTCGGGGCAGGTACTACAGGTATAGAACATGTTACATTTATTGTATTATGTAATCCCAATATAGCTTCCCTAATAGTCTTCATTATTAGTTTAACTATTTCTGAGTTAATTTGTATATCTTCTTAATTTATTTGTGCTTTTTTGTTTGTTTCCCTGATTCATTTCCCAGCACAAATTTCTTATTTGCCTCAAATTTGCATTGTGGTATTCTGAAAAGAGAGTTCTGATATGACAAAACTCTAGTTTGGAGTGCTTATAAAGTCCTCCATGAAAACGAAGCCATCTGAACAAACTATGGTTATTTGTACACCCATAGACTGTTTTAAAGGAATCTAAATCTATGTTTTCTGGAAATAAAAAGTTCACTTTTTTACTTCTTCATATATACTTTTTTGTAATACATTCATTATACAGAAGTAACTTGTGTGTGCCTGTGTGTATTTCCGACTGTGTATTTAGAAGAGTTAAGTGGAAGAACAGGTGTAGGTAAGATTAAACTGCTGATCTTAAAAGTACAGATATCCTTCTGAGCTGGGACTGAGGAACTATTAGGTAAATGTCAACAGAGAAAGGACAGAAAGCACATGAAGACACAGATGAGCAAGTTGACTCTCCTTGGGATTAGGCAGCAATATGATTGATAACAGTTTTCTGACGCTGGGTTGCTTTATGGTTCACGAAGCTCCTAATCTCCATGGTGATTTAGGATGTGCTTTATTGAGTTTATAAAACTGTAACATTTAGCCTCTTAGACTAAAGAAGTCCCTTGGAGTTTTAGTGTCTGAAGATCCTTCCAAACATCAAGGAGAACCTTTCATGCAGAAATGCAATGGGTCATCTCTCAACTGAATTTTAAAAGACCCTATAAGCTTCTTTGAAGGGTGCTGTAGATTTCTATCTATCTCACCCTTGAATTCCAAGGATGAATTTTTTTTCCTAAAACATGAAGTCTTGCATCTCTTCTTGAATCTGGTTAATTTCATTACAGATGCTGGTAATCACCCATTTGGAAAATATGTAATATTAGCTTCTTTTTAACATCTTATCCGTTATACCTTATTATACTTCCACATGGCATACTTTCTAAGTTTTATTTGTTTATCAGCTGTCACAGACAGACATACCTTTAGCTAAATCAAGCTCCTGCCACAGGGGAATGGCATATATTATTGTCTCTCTCCAATCCTTTTCCTCCTTGATAATTATCTCTGTCTCATCCTTTGTATAGAAATTCAGACAAATCTTGCTGAAGATATCTTCCATACAAGCTCAGAACTTTCGAGTTACAGCGCCATACACATTTCCTTCAACAGTCTTCCCAGAGCTTGTGCCAGTCTCTATTTGTTTGTGTGTCAGCTTGTCATTATACCTGCATCAGGTTATAAGCTTATTGCAGGCAGGTATACAACATCTCTTTACTCAATGTTAATTCCAAAATTTATTTTTACAACCGTATTTTTTAAAAAAAACTTTTAGGTTCAGGGGTACATCTGCAGGTTTGTTATATAAACTCATGTCATAGGGGTTTGTTATACAGATTATCTCCTCAACAGGACTAATCCTAGTTCCCAGTAGTTATTTATTCTGATCTGCTCCCTCCTCCCACCTTCCATCCTCTAGTAGACCCCAGTGTATATTGTTTCCCCCATGTGTCCATGTGTTCCCATCATTTAGCTCCCTCTTATAAGTGATAACATATAGTATTTGGTTTTCTGCTTCTGTGTTAATTTGCTAAGGATAATGGCCTCTAGTTCCATCCATGTTCCTGCAAAGGACATGATATCATTCTTATTTTTTCTTGGCTACATAGTATTCCATAGTGTATAGGTGCCACATTTTTTATTCAGTCTACAAATGATGGGCATTCAGCCTGCTATTGATGGGCATTTATGTTGATTCTATGTCTTTGATATTATGAATAGTGCTGCAGTGAACATACATGTGCATGTGTCTTTATGATAGAATGATTATATTCCTTTGGGTATATACCCAGTAATGGGATTTCTAGATCTAATGACAGTCCTGTTTTTAGCTCTTTGAGAAACTGCCTCACTGCTTTCCACAATGACTGAAATAATTTACACTCCCATCAACAGTGTATAAGCATTCTCTTTTCTTTGCAACTTCGCCAGTATCTGTTATGTTATGACTTTTTAATCATAGCCATTCTGGCTGGTGTGAGATGATATCTCACGGTGGTTTACAACCAGAGTTTTAAAACCCAGATTTATCTTTTGAATTTGAGACAAAGGGATTCAGCTGCTTACTGCCTACTGTTTTCTGGATTTCACAGGTATCCCAAACCAAATGTGTCTCAAACAAAGTAATCATCTCTCAACTGGAACTGTTTCTTCTGTTGTGCTCCTTACCTCAAAGAATTACTATCATCTCTATTTAATGGAAATCTGTATCTCATCCTGGACTCTTCATTTCTAATCCTCATAATGGACCAGTCACCACATCCCACACACTTGTTTTCAATTGTTCTACTTGCCTTTACTCTGGCACTGTTCCAGGTGTACAGAGGGAAGTGCTGTCCATATGGCCATTAAAGGAAGGACCTATTTTCCCAATTACTGGGAGGACTGTGAGTGAGTATTCTCTGTCTGTAAGCCCTTTCAAGTATCTCCATAGTTCCCTAAAATTTATACACCTTTAGAAGTAGGCCACCCCTCCCAATATATGGCTGGAACTCCCCAGCTGATTGATGGAAGACATGCAGAAGCCTTCCACAAAAAAGTCTGCAATTGTCCCCTTCCTTGTCTATCTTTATTCACCTGTTCTCCTGGCCACTGTCTACAAAACTAGGGCTTAGTTGCAACACAAAGCTGTGTATGAGTTGGCCCTGATAAGGTGGAAGAGACTATTATCTATTTAGAAGGAGTGACAAGCCCAATCAGCAGGTATCAGCAAGACGAGGGAGAGAAGGGGTGAGATTATTTTCTGAGGGTGCTTGATCAGGTGGTCAGAACATAAGATTAGATTTTGAGTACTCTCCTGGGATAAAGAATTTTACTATTGGAAAGGACTACAGGAGACGATTCTAACTTGTTACTAGAATGACTCCCGGAAGTATGGGAAAAGTGATGACCCAGTTAAGTCAGGTTAAAATACCAGAATTGCTATGGCAGATGGTGAAAAAGAGAATGAAAGTCTCAGGAAAGTAGATATAGTGGAATGAACATACTGGGTAGGGTCGGAAAACCTACCAAATGAGTATGATCTATGGAAAAGCACAGAGGACATGCCAATTATCAAGGCCATTAAAAATTCTGGGTGAGAATGATACAAGAATCACCAAGAAGTCCAGTGGTACCTCCCCTGCATGGGTCAGAGCTGATAATAGAAAAGATGGTTATAAAACAGGGCCCACTTTTAGCAATGGAGATGGCAGAGCATTGACACAACAGATATAAATAGCCAGAAGCCGGATGAACAGAATTATGGCAATGAGGGGCCAGGTCAGAGGGACAACCAGGGTGTAACACATAGAAGGTTATAAGGAGATGCTTAATAACTCTTGCTGTCCATGGAGGCTAAGAAAATGTTTCTTCAACAAAGGTCCTGTTCAATTGGTAGCAGGCAAGATATCAAGGATGGATGCACAGGAGACTTAAGGCAGTTACTGCAATAAAGAAGTCAAGATTCCTTGCCCAAGTTTGATCAGTTTTTGGACCCAGAAGCTATTGACCTTCTTAGCAAATTTTGACAGTAAATGGAAAAGTGCAGTCGTCTTAGCCTGAGAAAGGCTCAGACTCCTAAGAAAGGAGGAGCTGGGTCATGCCACAAGATGGGCCTTCTGGTCTCATTTCAATGAAGGATTTGCCCCAACTATTAGGAGCACCAACAATAGAAAACTTAGTTGGCATCCTTGTCAGCAGAATAAAGCCATCTTTCCAAGGGTAGACACCCACGTGGGTAGCTTATGTAACTGACCAAAAATGTGAGAATGTATAGACCCAGCTGTCCCATCTCACCTTTGGACAATTCTCAAGAGCCATTCTAGCTCCCAATATCCTGCTTGGGGGCAGGTGGTGCTTATTCGAGGTTGCAATTGCTCTGTCACAGCTTGATTTCTCTCTCTGCTCCATCCTGCTCCCTGATGGAATGTTATTCTCTTGTTTATTGAGGAATATTTTGTATTGAAATGCAATAAAATGCCTAATACTTTTTAAAAATTAAATTGAAACTCATTAAAATATGCATCTACTTTGTTCCTCATACATTATTTAGTGTTTATTTTTGAAAACTTTCTTATGAAATAGAGTGAACAAACTGGCTTTTTTTGCCTTTACAATAAGTTTTACAGGGGTTTTAAATTGCCAATTTGAAAATTCAAGTATTGATGCTACAAATGTGTATGTAAGTGCCCTATGACAAGAGTGCTCATGTTTTAAGGAGCAGGTAAGAAAAGGATGTCTGTCATTTAAGCCACATTTCTGCACAGTCATTGGTCCTCCTGGCTTCAGCCTGGACAAGTGCACAGACATTGTTAAGGCAAAGGTAAGGCTGATGCTCAAAAATGAAATTGAACTTTAATCTATGTTAGAGAAATTAGTACATTAATATTTCTGCCAAGTGGGAAGAAAATTAGTAAAAAAGGATATTCATGTTGACAACTATAACATATTATGTTTTTTTTTCTCCAGAGTGTTCTATTAAAGAAAAATCAGTGCTACGAAAGCACTTTACTTCTACTGCAAACTTTCTTCTACAGTAATTCAATTATCATAGACTTCCTTAAAGTATTTGTAAACAACAGTAATTGTGTGTAATCGCTCAAGGCCAGACAAATAATGCAGATCTAATTTGGTTTACACCTGCCTAAAAGCCAGAGAAAGAACACCTCTTCTCTATGTGAATGTTAAACCAAGTTCTGAAAACAATTGCTGAGAATGGTTGTTCTCTAAATGTTTAAATACAGAAACATTGACAAAACTCTTAGGACACAAATTATGATGTTTAATGGGATATTAGGATAAGTTATTGCAGGTAATGACCTCACCATCCATGCTCTTCCAAGCTTTCAGTACAAAATTCAGAATCATCGTCAATGTTTTCTTTTTATTCCACACGACGAATCAGTTGCCATATCCTATGAATATGTTTGATAATAGGCTTGCATGGTTTATTTGTGTGCAGCCATGTTAGGAGGTTGGTACTTGAATAAAACCTAAGCATCTATTAGTGGAACACTTGCTGAGTAAAGTATAGTGCATGAACACCACACAGTATCATGCAGCTACCTGAAGCAAAGGAATAGATCTAGCCAAAAGGATGGAACTTAAAAAGACGAGTACATAGCACATAAGAAAGTGAGAACTAAAATAATATATGTAAATTTAAAATATGTGCATAAAATTGACGAATATATTGGAAAAAACACATGGGAATGAAATAATTACTAAAAAGAATAGAATACTATAAAGAGAGAACAGATGCTAATAAGAGAAATGGAACGAAAATATAAAAAATGAAATGAAAGAATGAATTCAACATTAATAGTAAAGCATAACAGAGGAACACTGAAGGAACAAATGATACAGACACTATTTCATCAGCTGACAAACAGAATGACGTCAATCTTCTACACGTGAAGTTAAAAATAAAGCAAAATCTGCTGAAGATATGGTCAATTACATTTCCCTTTTATCTTCACTGCTGTTGTTTCAATTCTGTTTTTTTCTTTCATCTCCAGTCTATGATATAATATCATTTTTCTAAAGGTTCTTATTGTCATTAATGTATCCAGTTAAGATTTCTTCCCATGTTGCTAACACTCTTATACTTTCAAAAAGCCAATTTTGTCAGTATCCAAGGAAAATATGACCAAAAATGCTTTTCATACTCTAAACCATACTCTGGTTAGTTATGATCCAATTACAGCAACAGTTTTATTGTTTTACAAGCATTCCCTTAATGTGTCCTGTTCCATCTTCTTTGCTTCTATAACAGCCTATTTTTCTTTTATTCACGTATTTATTGCAACACATTACAGTTCACTGGTTTGCTGAATACTCTATCCCTGTGGTCTTATTTTAATAAGGGAAGAGATAATGTCTTCCTTGTCTTTTTATCTCCAGAATTTATCGAAATGACCTTTATGTACAAGCACAAGTACTTGTAAGTACTTGACAAACGTTCACTGAGGTTGAAAAAATGAGTTTATAGAATGTTCAAAAGTAACTAGAGAGCCTATGACACAGTAGCTTATAGCAGACTAATGCATCCACTGATAATAGCTAGAAAATCTCTGATAAATAATAAAGTGCAAAACCAATTCTTTTTGGAGGTAACATGCTTTTTTATTGTGGTAAAATATACTTAAAATAAAATTAACCATTTAAATAATTTTTAAGGGTATGGTTCAGTGGCATTAAGTACATTCACAATGCTGAGTAACCATCATCACTCTCCATCTTAAGAAATTTTTATTAACCCCAGCTAAGACATTATACCCATTAAACAACAACTCCTGAATCCCCTCTCCCCCAGCCCCTGGTAACTGCTATTCTACCTTCTATTTCTCTGAACTGCTCGAGGAGCCTCAAGTAAGTGTAATCATACAACAATTGTCCTTTTGTATATGACTTATTTAACTGTGTCTTCAAGAGTCATCTATGTTGTAGCATGTGTCAAAATTTCCTTCCTTTTTGCTGCTAAATAATATTATGCTATCTGTATATACCATATTTTATGTATTTGTTTATCTGTCAATGAGCACTTGGGTTGCAACCTTCATTTGAATATTGTGAATAACTTTGCTATGAACAGGGTGTACAAATATCTGAGACTCTGCTTTCAATTCTTTTGAGTATATATCCGAAAGCAGATTTGCTGCATCATGTGGTAATTTTACATTCAATATTTTGCGTAATTGTGTACTGTATTTTCACAATGCTTGTACCATTTTACATCTCTCTCAGCAATGCACAAGACTTCCAATTCCTCCACATCATCACTAACACTTGTTACCTTTTGTTTGTTTTTTTAATAATAGCCATCCTAATGGGTGTGAAGTGGGGTAACATCATTTTGAGCTAGCTAGGTTTGAAGTGACAAGACGCTGAAAATCAGAGATGTTTATCTTTCAAGCCCTTGTTCATTTTTTTCTCAAACTGCTTGCCAACTGGTATGGTTTGGCTGTGTCCCCTCCCAAATCTCAACTTGAATTGTATCTCCCAGAATTCCCATGTGTTATAGGAGGGACCCAAGAGGAAGTAATTGAATCATGGGGGCCAGTCATTCCTGTGCTATTCTTGTTTGAATAAGTCTCATGAGATCTGATGGGTTTAATCGGGGGTTTTCACTTTTGCATCTTCCTCATTTTTCTCTTGCCACCACCATGTAAGAAGTGCCCTTCAGCTCCCGCCATGATTCTGAAGCCTCCCAACTATGTGGAACTAGAAGTCCAATTAAACCTCTTTTTCTTCCCAGCTTCAGGTCTGGCTTTATCAGCAGTGTGAAAACAGAATAATACAGTAAATTTGTACCAGTAGAATGTGGTGTTGTTGAAAAGATACCCTAAAATGAGGAAGTGACTTTGGAACTGGGTAACAGGCAGAGGTTGGAACAGTTTGGAGGGCTCAGAAGAAGACAGAAAAATGTAGGAAAGTTTGGAACTTCCTACAAACTTGTTGAATGGCTTTGCCCAAATGCTGATAGGGATATGAACAATAAGTTCCAGGCTTATTCCAGGTCTCAGATGGAGATAAGGAACTTGTTGGGAACTGGAGCAAAGCTGACTCTTGTTACGTTTTAGCAAAGGGATTGGCAGCATTTTGCTCCTGCCCTAGAGATTTGTGGAACTTTGAATTTTGGAGAAATGATTTAGAATATCTGGCAGAAGAAATTTCTTTTTTTTTCTTTTTGAGGTGCAGTCTCACTCTGTCGCCCAGGCTGGAGTGCACTGGCGCTATCTCGGCTCACTGCAAGCTCTGCCTCCCGGGTTCATGCCATTCTCCTGCCTCAGCCTCCCAGTAGCTGGGACTACAGGTGCCCGCCATCACGCCCGGCTAATTTTTTGTATTTTTAGTAGAGATGGGGTTTCACCATGTTAGCCAGGATGGTCTCGATCTCCTGAACTGGTGATCCACCTGCCTTAGCTTCCCAAAGTGCTGGGATTACAGGCGTGAGCCACCGCGCCCAGCCTGGTGGAAGAAATTTCTCAGCAGCAGAGCATTCAAGAGGTGACTTGGGTGCTATTAAAGGCATTCAGTTTTAGTCGGGAAGCAGAGCATAAAGGCTTGGAAATTATGCAGGCTGATTATGTGATAGAAAAGAAAAACCCATTTTCTGGGGAAAAATTCAAGCCGGCTGCAGAAATTTGCATAAGTAGCAAGGAACCTAGTGTTAATCACCAAGACTATGGGAAAAATTATCTCCAGGCCATGACAGCGACCTTCACCGAAGGCCCTCTCTTCACAGGCCTGGAGGCCCAGGAGGAAAAAGTGGTTTTGTGGGCTGGGCCCAGGGTCCCTGGGCTGTGTGTGCAGCCTAGGGATTTGGTGCCCTGTGTCCCAGCCACTCCTGCCCTGACTGAAAGGGGCCAAGGTACAGCTTGGGCTGTGACTTCAGAGGGTGGAAGCCCCAAGCCTTAGCAACTTCCACATGGTGTTGAGCCTACAGGTGCACAGAAGTCAAGAAATGAGGTTTGGACACCTCTGCCTAAATTTCAGAAGATGTATGGAAACACTTGGATGCCCAGGCAAAAGTTTGCTGCATGGGCAGGGCCCTCATGGAGAACCTCTGCTAGTGCAGTCCAGAAGGGAAATGTGGGGTCAGAGCCCCCACACAGAGTTCCTACTGGGGCACTGCCTAGTGGAGCTGCAAGAAGAGGGCCACCATCCTCCAGACCCAGAATGGTAGATCCACTGTCAGCTTGCACCATGTGCCTGGAAAAGCCACAGACACTCAACACCAGCCTGTAACATTTAATTCCAGGTCTGTCAAGGCAGTCAGAAATGGAGGGACTAAGATCCTGGGAAAAAGAGAGATGAAGAGAGTTATAACTTGGACTCTACGTATGTTTTCCCTCAAGTCATTTGCTGATTAGAGGCTAAGGAGCTAAATTTAAATATATAAGAATTTCAAGAAAATGTTCAGAAATAGCATAGTGCTGCAGAACAAAAATTAAATACTAGTGCTCAGTCAGGGGAAGGGGTTCTAGTAAATATTGCAGTGTTCATTTCGGAGCCATAGAGGATTGTATCTTAGAGACAGAATAATCTAGATTCAGAGGAGACTCACAATATCTGAATCACAGTGTCATGTCATCGCCAACCTTAATTTTATTTAGTGAGCAGAGGGTAAATCCTCTCTAAGCAAAGATAACATTATAGAGAGTATTTATCATTTTTTTCAGACACTAAATCTAGAGTTTATTCAGAAACACCTATCACACCAAGAATTAGTACTAAAGGGGAAAAAGAAGCAGTGCAAATTAAAAAAAAGAGGTGATCCAATTGAGGATTCACATATTGGTTCAAAATAATTATAATTCAAGTATTCAGAAAAATATATAAGAGGATACAAAATTTCATGAAGGAACTGCAATCCACGAAAAAGAATTAAATGGAAATTCCAGAAATGAACAATTCAATATTTGATGTTAAGAACTTTATTGATGGGCACAGCGAGAGATTGGGAACTGCTAAAGACAGAACCATTGAAATCAATAAGATGTTTCATTCACAAATGCGTGGATAGAAACCAAAAACAAGTGAATAGGGGTACAGAGGAATAGAGGAGACCAGTAGACCTTAGATAAGGAAAATATCTAAGCTATTTTAATTGAAGAATAATGGATACTAAATTTAACAAATAACTATCCAGTAATAGATTCAAGAAGTCTATGAAACTGGAACCAGGAAAAATACAAAAAAAAAGCTACACTATATACAGTGTGGTAAGGCTAATGCAAATCAAAAAGAAAGACAATCTTCAAATCAGTAACTGAAAAAAATACATTAACTATAGAATAACAACAATAAAACTGACAGCTAACTTCTTAAAAAATTATAAGAAACAGAGCAGATAAACAACATCTTAAAAACCTGAAAGAAATTAACGACCAACCTACACCTTATAACAAATAAAAGTAAATCTCTACACAATGCAAAAGAGAAAGGGAAAAGGGGGGAACGAAAGGCTTAGAAAAGCAGAAATAAAATTTGCAATCTGATGGTGACATGAATATGTATGCAGAAAATGTAAGTAATGCACAGGATGAATAACTAGAATTAATATAACGACTTGAGTTAAATTACTGAATGAAACAGTCAATTGTGGTTTTATACATGAGACCAGCTACAAATGAAAATATAAACCACGATGATATAGCAACATAAACCCATCAAAATTACTAAAACTACAATTTTTTTTTAATAATCTCAAGTTTAGGAGAGAACGTGAAGTAATGAGAATTTCTACATTGCAGAGGGTTTCTAATGATAGTGGATTTCTACGATACAACTAATTTAGGGCAAAATTTTGACAGTAATTTCACTTGTAGGCATACACACTGGCAAAATAAAAGCATAAATACAAGTAAATGCAAATGTACGTGTGCATATACACACACAATTTTTTTCATATTCTGTAGAGAATTCCTATTAAACAGTAAGATAACCAACACAATGGAAAATTAAGCCAATGAACTGAAATGGAAACTTCATAGAAAAGGATAGTAAAATACCCGTAAACTTATGAAAAGGTGGTTAACCTCATTACTCATCAGCGACATGCCAATTAAACCACAAGTTTTCACTACACATCCATTAGAGTCAGAAATCTTAAAAAGAATGGCACTATCAAGAACTGCTAAGAATGTGAAACACGTGGAACCTCTCATATACTACCCGGTGAGAAGGCACATTTGGAAAACTGTTTGCAGATCTACTTATGCTAAATTCTGGGATATATGTATGTCCTCTGACCTAGAATTCAAGTCCTCAGAATACACCCAGAAAAAAATGTGTGAATGTTTCTTACAAATGGCAAATAAATGTATGGGTATAGGTTATGGAGAAAAGTATAACACAACAAACACATTATCTCTGCAGTTATCTGTTTTCCTTACGAAGAGAGGTCTCCCTAATCTCCATTGGGTTTAGAAGCTCTGTTTAATAACGTGAGTTAAGCCTAAGTCTAGTGCTATTGAAAACTTATTTCCCAGCTTTCCCAGAAGTTTGAATTCCATTGCTCAGTTCCTAAAGATTTGTTTAAAAAGAGAAAAAGGTTCAACTCTAGCCTGGGCTAATCTACTAGGCATTCCAAAGTTTAATATCATTGACTTCAATGGAAAGAAAATAGCTATTGCAGTCCTAGATCATGATTCTAGACCAAACTCCATCCCTTCCTACTGTGTGACTTGATCAAATCCCTCTGAACTATATGACATTCTGGAAAAGACAAAATCATGAACACAGTCAAAAGATCAGTGGTTGCCAAGAATTCAGGGTAGGGAGGAAGGGATGTCTCAGTAGAACAAAGGGAATTTTTAGGGCAGAGAAACTATTTCACATTATACTGCAGTGGTGGATACATGTCATTGTATATTTGTCAAACCCCCTAGAATATACAACACAAAGAGTAAATTCTAATGTGAATTATGAATTTTAGTTAATAATTATATGTCAATATCGGCTCTGTTATGTATCAGTATTGACTCATCAGTTGTAACAAATGTATCACAATAATACAATACGTTACTAATAGGAGAAACTGGGGTTGTGGAGTGAGTTGATATATGGGAATTGTTTGTACATTCTGCTCATTTTCCTGTAAACCTAAAACTCCTCAAAAAGTAAAATCTATTAATTAAAAAATTCTACTGTAGTATTTTAATATCTTTGAGATAAAATATACATTAGGAAACAAGGATCATGCATTATATAGGAACAAAACATTCTACTGACTTTGTCTTATTTGGGGAATTTAATTCACTTTGAGTGATTTACTAAAATTCTGACATAATAAAATGGTGAAAAAGAACTATATATAAATGCTAATTAGGATACTAAGGAGGCTGGTTAGGTGAACCCACTCATTATTTCAAGCCATAGAGTTACATAGTGCATTTTGTTAGAAATATTTTAAAAGTAGGCATATGTCAAATGCATATAAGCAATAAATCTTATATTCATTTATCTTATCACAAAATAAAATATCACATGGAAAGTTTTACAATAAAACAAAATAAAACTGAAGCTGTTTTACATTATAAGGGAAGAATAATTTGAGTTGAAATATAAAATCAGATACAGACCATACTTTAATATATTTAATAATTTTTGTAGTTAATGTTTTAGAAACAATTGCATTTTATCCTTCTCTGTGATACATAAATATTTGTGTGCGCGCATGTTTGTTATTTTTATTTTAAACTAAGAATAAAGTTTAGGGCGTTTCCTTTTTTTCTTTCCCATCTTATAAACATTTCAATCAAAATTATTATTTCGGACAGTGGCTTTGATAACATATTTGTAAATAAGTCTTCCATTACATTTATTTCCTTAATTTTCATAATAAAATGCTTATCCTAACATTTATTATCCTTATCAAGAAAACTAATGCATCTGTCCTTAATCAGCCATAGAGAATATTAGCCCTCGTTAGTTGCCAGAGGCTACAATTTCCCATTAACATTCTAGCTGAGAGACATTATGTTATGTTAAAGAAAAAATCTATGAGAAAAACTACTCATTTTTCTTAGAAGTCTACGATCTAACATTTGATAGAGCCTGGCATCAGAAAGACTTCATATTGAGCTAATACGAGTGTGGCCTCTGGCAGAATTCCTACACTGAAGAGAACTTCAGTGCAATGTCTGGAGCTTTTACTGAGGATTCCTACAATAATTTGCTACATGAATTCTACTTCTTAAATTGCCACAAAACTAGTGTTGAGAACATTTTTCATTAAATTATTAATTGTTCTCCATATGTGATTAATTGCATTAGAAATTTAGTAACAGGAAAAAAGTTATGTTCTTCAGGAAATTGTGTGACTTTTCTTTTCACATAATAGTTTAGTCACTGCATTAAAATTTTATGTTTTGTCATAAAATTACCACAGACTTTGTATTTAATTTTTTTCTCCCACTTTTTTTTCTACTTTATGAATCTACATATACTTTATAAAATAAAAATTATAATTATAAAAAAAAATACATATACACATAGGTAAATCTCAAGATTAAATAAAATTATTTTCATCAAATTTTTAGAGATTATTTATTTATTTAAAATACTTACCATATGTCACGTATGTAATTCACTTTGGGAAGCCATGGGAAAGAACATCAATGAGATTTCTATTTACACTGTCTGTGTACTTTTAGGTCTATAACTTGAAATAATTCTATTCATACACCAAAGAAGTGAACGAAATACATGTACTCAGGTTGTAACCAAGTGCCTCAGCTTTAAAATGGATTTTAAAACTTTATTTTCTCTAAACTGAGAATATAGCATTAAAATGTACTTTGCAACTCCCTCTTTCTCTTCCTTTCCCACCAGACATTCCCTTGCATCATGCACGCTTCTCTACATACTTTCTTAGAAATTCCAGGGGTACATCTTACAAGAAACCAGGCACGGAGACCCAGCTGCAGACTTCTCCCCAACCCAAGGATTACTTCAAGGTGGTTCATCTGCAACTCAGCTGTAACCAATATGGTATCAATTCACACCCCAGACAAACTCAAGATAGCCATTGGAACAAGACATGCAGACCTTTATCCTGCACCACTCCTGCATGTTTCCCATACCAAGATTCCCCTTTTAAATCTCTCCACTCACACCAAAAATTTGAGATGGTTTCTTTGCAGCTTGAATCCAGACATCTCCCCAAGTGCTGGCATTTGGAATAAAAGTTACCTTCCTTTCACCACACCTCACTTCTTGTGTCCCTGGCTTTTCGAGCAGTGAGCAACTGAACCTGAGTTCAGTTACAGGATCAATAAATGTCCACAAACTCAGTAGACATATGTAACTACCATTATGCAGTATATTTGAGTCATATATATTCGTTCGTCTCTAATCCCATAGATTGAAATGGTTTTGAATATAAATTATATCTTGTTCATCAATGTATCCATAGTGCCAGCCGAATGCTGGCATACAACTGAAACTTGGCATATATTCGCTGAAAAAAATGATAGCCATTAAATATAAGGTATGGCTTATTCTCCCAAGGAACGCACATTATAGTTGGAAAGATATCTAACACACATGAAAATTCAAAAGCTGATTTGGTGTAAGAAGAACATAATCTATATTCTCAAGAGACTTTATGGCTAAGAATATATCATTCAGCATTTACAAAAGGTTAAAGTACTGCTTTTTCTCAACCAAATACATTAAATACAAACATCATTTTCTAAACTTTACAAAACTCTTCATTTAATTTTTAATTTTTACCTAAAACACTTTTAGGATCTCTACGCAGCAATGGAAAGTATATAGAATTTTACAAAATTTATTTACTGGACTCATTTTTACTGTGTTACGTAAATATATAAAACTTAGTAGAGTCATGTTCCAAACTAATAGTAATCATCCAAATCCTTTTTAATACTAAGAGGAATGCATTTTCCTTAGAGACAACATTGTAAATTGTGGGTAGATTTCAGACTAGCTCACTAATCTCAAATCTATTATTTAACATTCGTATGTTGTCAGTAATAGGAAACACATCCTAACCAATATGCATAGTAATGTCCATATGGAAAAATTAATTCGCATTACCAAAATCGGTTGCCTGGAACTATCTTTGCAGGGAGAAGGTACTCCTTCAATTCCCTTTTTCTCCCAACTCCTCACCTATAAACTATGTGATAAAATGAGAAACTTCTTTAACTCAGTGAAGAAGACATGGGTAGTTCCCCACAAAAATGTTGTGCTCCCCTTTTATAGTATATATTTGTGGATTGGTAAAAACTACCTAGACAGGGTCTAGATTCTCTGCAGGCTTTCCCCTATGTCAACATGGGATTTTCTAACTAATTCTTGCCATGGAATTTTCGTAAGCAATAAGGCATGTGTCAATTTAGGATTTTTAAGAAGCATATGTGTCATCTTTACCTATTCTCCCATCTCCAACATTGGGGGTAAAAGACTCTGAGATCCTAGTGGAGGACAGATTAACAAGGAGGAAAACCCCTGCTCTTCTGTTTATCATATGCAGGAAAGCCACTTACCAAATAAAAACAAGCCCACAGGACTCTTAAATGACTGAGAAATAAACTGCTGTGTTAAATCTTTGAAATTGTAAGACTTAATTCTCAGAGTAGCTTATAGTACCTTAATATATTTACTATGTCTCAAAGTGTATCTTCTGGAATAACAGTCCAAGTAGACATGCCATAAAAAAGTTCTATGACCAAATAAGTTAGAAATCATATATCCCTTTTACAGACACATAATAGATACAGGATAATCAAAAGCTCAGGAAAGTCGTGTAGCTTTAAAAAATGTTTAACTGTGTTTAATCTAGCAATTTCCAAATTTACTGGCAAATTAAATCCTTTATGGCATAAGAACTATTAATGTTGTATATAAATGCTATTAATCAGAAAACTCTTTGGAAACTATTTCCTTGGCTAAATGATTGATAAAATCCCCTCGTGACTTGGAAAATGTCTTTGGAAGGTGAACGATAGAGAAAGGGCTTAGAGCTTAAAAAACAAATGAACAAACAAACAAATACTGAAGATCTGGAGACATTAATCTGTTTATGATGGGAACAGTTTATATTCAATAATCTTAAGGAGCAAAACTTTTTTTTTTTTTACCTAAGTATGCTTTTTCAAGTCCTGAAGATCTGGGGATATGCATCTGTTTGTGATGGGAACAGGTCATATTCAATAATCTTAAGAAGCAAATATATTTTTTACCCAAGTATGCTTTTTCAAGTATTTTAGCTTGGAGTTGTATTGAATACTATGGTATGTCATCCTAATCATTCTGTTGCTACTGAAGCATTCATTTCCCATGCTATCAGGAGTGTTAGGGGCTGGTGATTCTCTGCTAAATCCCTTTCCAGGAATTGCCTAAGCTGAAGATGTGATACCCCATCTATTTGGAGAGTGTGCACCCAGTGACCGGTACATACAGAGGTGTAAGGTTCTGGCCCTGTCGCCTCTAGAAAGGCCCACTCTGAAGGTCAATTACTGCTCCATGGCTCCCTGTGGAAGAGCTGAGGTCTTTGTGGAATTGCATGACAGTTCAGCCTCTCCCTCTGTCCAATGCTCCTTCTTTCCCTCTCTCCAATCTTGAAAGCCCTCTCTGTTAATCCTCCTGAACAGAAAACTCTCTCTCAGTAACTATTTTCTAGTAATCGTAATCTAAGGCAAGTGTATACCATGAACTTGCATTATTATTGTATCGTTTAAACATATTTTGCTGAAATAACTTAAATGATTAATATTATTTGGTTACAGGTGCTTTAAATATATTCACTGCTAATATTTCAGGAGAGTTTTCCGTGTTGGATAAAACCTGAGGTTCCATTGCTCATGTCTATGCATGCGTAGGGTCAGTCCTCTCAGCTTTTGCTGTACAACTTGACTGCTTGTTAACACTTCTGCAATACTTCTGTAGTGGCATTTTGTTTAGGTATGTATAACTTTCCTCTTCCTAATTTTCATTAATGCTGTTACTCTGAAACCCAGAAAGTCTACCTATGAAAATAAAAGTACTGCGTCTGTAAAAGAGCTACATTCTTATTACTGGTATTACCGGTATTGTAAGATAAGCCTTGCTGTTATTTCCTAGTTAAACTTATTCAGATAAATTGATTAATTTTACCTCATGGGCATGTAAATTATTATTTTACTCCTTTGCATTAACTGTTAGAAAATTAATGACAATTTTTTGGCCTAGTCTAGCATGGATAGAAATTTCTTCTTGCAGTTTGGCTATCAACTTCAGCCTTGTCTTCACCTTCTCTTACCTACCCTCATTTTTTATCTGCCATAATTGCTTCATGATCAATTTTAAATGTTTACTTTGTCTGATTGCATTATTTTACCCAGTGTTTGAATACCTTTCTAGAAAAAAGTGGCTTACTATAAATTATCATATAATTTAGAAGGATATATAATATATAATGTATATATTATATAGGAAATTGTGACAAAATTCAAATAGAACATGATGTCATTTTAGTACCCACAAGGCAAATACAAAGATAGATGATAACACAAAGAATTTTAGATTACTTTTACATAAAAAAAGAATTTGCTTGTAATGGTACAATGATTAATTTCTTTATATTATGATTTTGAATTCTGCTGACTGATTTGTTCAAATGTCTTAACTATTTGGCAAATGGGTCTCTTTTCAGCTTTTGCTTTATCTCAAGAATAGGCATAAAAGCTAAGCATTGGGCTTTTAAGTAGATAAAGCTGGAATGAATTCCCAAACCCATGCTTTTTATATGAACACGGACACTTTGTTTAATTTCATTTTTCACATATATAAAGTACAAATAATACCGTCAACCTCGATGTCCTTTTACAATTATTTAGATATATTGTATGAAATACATAGCACGGTACCTTATTTATAGTAGAATAGTTGTAAACAGTAGTATTATTTACATTACATATTCTTTAATGAAAGTTAGCTTCTTTCATTAAAATTCACTCAACTTAGATTAAGAATGAAATGCATCTTTCAGGGTAAATTTGAAGTAAAAGAGTTACAAAAACTTGTGTGAAGACTCAATTGAAAATATAACTTTAGGAATTTCCAGGCTGAAGCTAATTGTTAGATCTAGGAATCAGTATCAGCTACTGAGTGAGGAAGGTGCAGGAAAAGAGGAGAGAAGTAACGTATAAGGAGTAGAGTGTAAGGATGATAGCTTATATTAAGGGTAAATTTTGTCTTGGGAGGAAAGGGCAAGAGCACACAAGAAAAGAAATACGGCACAAAATGTGTAAAGAAAGGGAAGAAATAAGTTTGTGTAGTTTTATAAAAGCCAAGAAAATTTGACGTAAGCAGAGACATCAAAGACAGAAACCAGGATTCAAGGTTACTCTTCTGTCTCAAATGACAGCACACTGAATATTACCAGGTGCAAAAGATACTGGGATTCTCTAGTGCCTCTGGCACAAACAACCAGGAAGAGAAGTAGACCTACGTGTCCTCTGGCTTGGGTAACAAGCCCGTAGAGCTTGTTCCCAAAGACAAATGGATCAAGCTTTAAAACCCTAGAAACTTTCTTTTCTCAACTAGGGCAAATTCTGAAAAATATACCTGCCTATTTTTGCCTTGGTCATATAAAAACATTGCTGATATCTGTCCATTCATGGCTCAGTCCTATCCAGGTTCCTCCCTGTAAACAACACATGCATGCAGTCATATTTTTAGGTGTCTTTTAACACCTAAACAGCCTTAATTTTAAACCAATGAATAATTTTCTCCCTACCCTAATTGATCTCTGCATACATATCATTTGACATTTGATTTCTTTTGCTTTTGAAATATTTGATTTCTGTACCAAAATACTCTCATGATTTTCCTGTAACATTTCTGGACAACTTTCTGGGCGTTCTTACCTCTATGGACCAACCAAAATTAGAAGAGAATTATGTTGCACGTTGCATGAGTTTGAAATCTTGTTCTTACACATACGATTTCTATGACCTTGGGCAAGTTACCCAACTTCTCTGTGACTAAGTTTCTTCATTTGCAAAATACCATCTGTTCCTCTTCATGGAGTTGGTGGGAAGATTATGAGTATTATTATGAGCAAAGCACTTGAGACATTTACTAGTAGATAGAAACTAACACAAAAATATTAGTTATCTGTGTTTTTATTTTATGCCCCTCTTTAAAAGGCATATTTCTTTCTGATTCTTTCCTTGGCCCTCTTCTCTATGAATTTCACATACCTGTGTAGTGATTTAATCTTGATTCATGGCTTTAACAATTATCTCCCTTCTACTCACATAACTCTTTAGAACCCAGACCACTATTTTCAACTATCCACTGGACAGCTCCACTCTGATGCTTTACAGATATTTCCAATTTAAGGTGTCTTCCCCATTCCAAGCCTGTGTGAATCATTCTGCGAATGGATAGGTACTAATGTCCCAATTCACAACGGTGAGACTTACCCTTGATGTCTTCCTTTCACTATGCTGTTTCTTCTACGTTCTTATCATCTCTATAATTTTTTCTGCCCTATCAGACAAAAATTACCTGAAATATTGTGATAACCTTCTAACTGGTCTTCCTGTGTCTCTTCTTCTGAAATTTATCCTGTAATGTGCAGCCAGAAACCTGTTTATTTTACCAACCTGTTTAAAATCTTTAAAATGTTCTCCTAGAGACCTAAGGATGATAAATAATTTTAAAGATGAAAAAAATCAACTAACCTTGATTTCATTATGTTCATCTGCTTTCAGAAGTTTATTCCTATAACCACCCAGATTCTAAGAGCTACTTCTCTGGACTTACAGAAATAATTTGGAGAAGTCTAGCTTATTCCTGAATCTAGTTCTCATAAGTAGACCCTGAATCTGAAATGTCATTCTCTCAACAATTGTATTAATTGTCTCCTATTTCATTTTCAGTTATTAATGTAGACATCACTATTCCACTAAGTATCTTTGTTTTTCGGGAAAGGAGTGTTCTACATCTGCTTATAAAAGTGCGTATCTCTGTATATATTGTAATTGCCTTATTATTTCCCTGTTTCTCCAATAAACACTGTTAAACTTGTAATTTTAGTGCCTCACACAGTGCCTAATAAAGAAAACATTTAATAAATATTCATTGAATGACTGATTAGTCAGTACTGATTTTTACTAGAAATAATCTGAAATTAATGTTATTAGAAAATAATCTTTATATAAATGTAATAAACTGTATAAAACAAGAAAAGCGTAGAAAAGAATTTTTTAAAAAACTCCTATAATGATACCACTTCGATGTGAATATAGTAAGATATTTTCTAAGGAAAAGTGGGTAAAATACAACAAAAATTAGTACTCTTGTAGATTAAGGATAAGATCTTACTTTTAGGAAAGAGATGATATTCCAACACAGTAATATTCCAATATATATAGTATACTAATATTGTAATATACTACAAAGACATAAACATAATACAAGAGTAAACTAGAGAGTTTACAACATAAACCATCGTGTCTACATAATATAAAATTCCTAAGTATATAGGCATTGTTGTTAAATACACACACACACTCAGAGACAAAACTATGTATCTCTAAACATGTATACAAAAGACACGATTTTTTAAAATTTCTAAAAAATACTTGCTGTGAACATCTAAAGCTAAAAAACATGACTTTAAATTCTCATAATTTGTATTTAATTATGAATTCTTCACACATGTTTAATTATTCTGTTAGTAAAGCAACACAAATTTTATATAAATTTATAATATATTGTAAAATTTTATTTTCTCAGAAGTTGACATAACTGAGCTGTAAGGATCTGGATGTATTGCTAAGCAGTTTTCTTAGTTCAATATTAATAAATATTTGCTGAATATTTTCAAAGATTACAGAAGTTTTTCAATTTCAATTTGGCAAGCTAGCAATTCAATTCTTACAAATAAGACATTTGCCCCAACACTATCCTTAAATTCAAATATGTTATTACTATATCTAACTGATGATACCAATCTCTTCAATCTTTATTACACATTTTGTTCATTCCCAAAGTGTTTGTGTACTTTGTTTATAGGCCACAAGCAGATGTTTCATTATAACTATGTCAGGAATGCAACATAATTTATATCTTCAATCAGCAGTAAAACAGGAGCACAATTTTTATTTGTATTTAAAAACTCAAAGTCTATATTCTCTCTTTTCTAGATTCCACATAAATTCATAATTTAATTGTTAATCATGTCAACAGTAGTAGCTAGATTGATTTATCTCCCTTTTGAAGACAAATTGCACAAATCTAACAGAGACTTTCATTTATTCTTTAACAAATACTGGCCTATTTATATGAGCTACATGAAGACTTTTTGAATCTCTAGAGACATCATTTTAAAATCTTGGTAAAAATTCACTTAATCTGACTTAACTTGTTAATTTGTAAAACTCAATAATAACGTATATGCTCATTCTGCTTGACAGAGTTAATTAAAACAATAAAAACGAGATAAATCAAAGATCTTTGGAAAACACCAAGTACTGTAAAACCTTGGGAAAATGATAAAAATGAAAGGACTGAAGGTCATTAACAAGTTTTTAATTAAAAGACTCTCTGTGGAACTTCTGTGTCAATCACAGTGTCTGGCATACTCAGTGTACCCAGTTGTGGGATTATCCAAGGAAATAGGCATATTAAATACAAGAATAAAAAAACAGCAAATTCCCTGGTCTAGTGTCAGATCTTCTATATTTTGACATCTAAGAAGGTCTGTGAGTTATCTAGATAATTGTATATTGATGTTCCTCCACTTACAGTGGTTTCACTTACACTTTTCAATTTCCTCATGGTGTGAAAGTAATACACATTCAGCAGAAAATATTCTTCCAATTTTGCATTATTTTCTTTTCCTGGGCTAGTAATATGCAGTTTCATATTCTCTCATAATGCTTGGGCAGGGGCAGTGAGACCACAGCTTCCAGTCAGCCACACAAACACCAGAGTGGACAAGCAATGCTGTACTGTATTGCAAGATTTTGCCCAACTGTAGGCTAAACATAAGTGTTCTGACATGTTTAAAGCAGGCTAAGCTAAGCCACGATGTTCGGTAGATTAGGTGCATAAAATGCATTTTTGACAATGATATTTTCAACTTAACAGTGGGTTTATTGGAACAAAACCCCGTCGTAAGTTAAGAGCCTCTGTGTATCAGTTACCCAAAATCCTTTACAAGCTGCTGGTGTTTATCAATGGAGTGAGCTATTTTAAAATATGACCTACCAAAAATTCCTACATGCTAGAGAAAAACTACAGAGAAAAATCATGATGAACAAATGGAAATACTGTATATTAATGAAAGAGAAATAACATGAGGAAGAAATAATAAATCTAGAGGACTAAAATGTCTTCAAGAATAAAGTAGAACTTGTTTAACAAAATGTGTGATATAAAAAGTGTAGATGCTCCTGATGATGAGGTATAATCAAATGCCTTTTTAGCCCAATATAATAGAAATAATATAGAAAAAAATGAAAATCTTTACCCATATGAAGCAAACCAACTCAAGGCATAATTTTGAACATTTGATAGAATTTGGAAAAAATTAAACCTATTTGATTATATATATTTTTAATATTGTCTTTTCAATATCACTAATTCAAGAAAATACGATTGCAAATAATACTAGGTAGGGCCAATAACCACTTGGTTTTTAATAAAAGTTAGCTACTTAAGTAAAATAGTATATTTTTTCTAATTGCAATTTGTTTTTAGATTCAGAAATAAAACAAAATATTTTAGAATAAGTATTATAATTTTGGCATAAGTATGCCGATTAAGAATATCAAATTCTAAATTTGAGAAAAACACTCAGAAACACAATAGTAAAATATGGGCCAACAAAGTGATAAATGAGAAGCAATATAATTATTTATAATTGAACTAAAATATTTTATGCAAAAGTAAATGAAATATTAAATTGTAAAAAAAAGTAAGTTTCAAATGAATAAAATACTAAGGACCTACACACACCTTGATATGTTGATATTTTTCAAAAGAATTAAAACAATATAAAAACCACAGATACTTTCAAATACTGCTAAATCATATAACGAATCTCATCAGTGTTTGATCACACATGCTGGAATACCATCAAGAAGTATGTATTTCAGTAGTAGCTTCATTACTTAGTAGCAAAGCATACTTTGATAAGCATCTCAGTACACTGAAATCTCATTTATATCTTCAATTAAAATAAGATATATTCCATGTTATTTTTGACTGAAAATTCTTCGCAACATAAAAAAACTGTGTAGCAATGACAATAGTTATAACATTGACAATAATCAGTGATTCAAATATTCCATTTTGTCTCTTAGAATGCTATCGCAGTATGCAGAACTATATGCTGTACCTTTGAATTGAATGAAGTAGATCAGGAAGTAACAAAATAGGTAAGACATATGGCAAAAGGGACTCGCTACCTCCACGTAATAATAACAACTACTTAACATCAACTTTCCCTGGGAAGTATAAAAGTGATAAAATGTCAAAGGCATTGACTGTTGATTAGGGGCCAAACACTTTATATGTATTATCTTATTCAATTCTCACAACGTTAGCAAATGGGTAACATTATGATCTCTAATTTGCAGCTGAGAAAATTGAGGCTAAGGGAAGATGAAGAATATGCCTGAGGTCATGCAGTATAAAGTAGAGAAACTGGTATTTTCTTGCTAACTCCAAAACTTGATCAGTCGACCACTGTACCCTGCAAGCAATGACTAATAATCAGCTAAATGCTAGCTGAATTTTCCCCAGTGATTCCATGACAAACTTTCTTGAGCACAGAAGAAAATAACCATGAAATCAATATTCTGCCAACATTTACTGTGACCATATTAGCAGTCCCTAAATTGACAATGGCCCGTGTTTATGCATGTATTCGTGCACTCACTCATTTATTCACTGACTTCCCTGGCACCACCAAAGTATAAGCTCCATAAAAGCACCCCTTATGTATTTGTGTGTTTGTGTCTTTAATTCCATGTAATTGGTTACATGACAGTGCCTGCCGTGGGCTAAACATTCAAGGAGTGGGCTAAATGACTAGATCTATAAACTATAAATATATTATCGCATTTTGTAATTATAATATTTTTAGATTGATATTTTCTTTTTGAAATGGGGTAATCGATGCAGAAAGGGTTTAGTGAGTTTTTTCCATATTGCACAACTAAGTGGCAAATGTAAGGATACAACCTATGTCATCATTATCTACAAATCATGTTTTTTCATTATGTTGTCATCAATCATCTCATTACGTAAGAAGTCTTACTGTCACCAGATGGTAACGCAATGTATGGCTAAACTTCAGTTACTATATAAAATATGTTATATGTCAAGGAAACTAGTTATTAAACAGGTTATTAAAACTAAAGATTTAAAAATATAATGCTATAAATATTAACTTAGGAAAATAATTAGGTTAGACAAATATCCTGTAAGGTATATATATATATTTTTTTGAGATGGAGTCTTGCTCTGCTGCCCAGGCTGGAGTGCAGTGGTGTGATCTTGGTTCACTGCAACTTCCACCTCTCGGGTTCAAGCAATTCTCTGCCTCAGCCTCCTGAGTAGCTGGGATTACAGGCATGTGCCACCATGCCCGGCTAATTTTTGAGTTTTTAGTAGAGATGGGGTTTCACCATCTTGGCCAGGCTGGTCTTGAACTCCTGACCTCGTGATCCACCTGCCTCAGCCTCCCAAAGTGCTAGGATTACAGACGTGAGCCACTGCACCTGGCCAGGTATAGTATTCTTTAAGGGCAAATAAAAATGGTTATTTTTATATAGTAACCAACTTTGGACCTGCTCTTTTGTTTTTTGAAAATTAACGTAATTCTAAAATACATGACTTTCTTTTAATTAGGATTTTTCTTCCTTAAAAACAATTCTTTGTTATTTTAAAATATATTGATATCTATTGGTAATTATAATTATGATATTCAACCTAGAGAAACAAAGTACAAGAAGACTATAGAACAGATTTAACCCAAATAAGAGTACGTGAAGATAATTTATAATCAAACTCCCAAAAGTCAAGGATAAAGAAAGGATCCTAAAATCACCAAGAGAAAAGAAACAAGCAACATACAAAGGAGCTCCAGTATGTCTAGCGGTTGACTTCAACACCCTGTGTTCACATTGAGTACACTATCCAGACAGAAAATCAACAAAGAAATACTGTACTTAATCCACACTATAGACAAAATGAATCTAATAGATATGTACAAAACGTTTCATCCAACAACTGCAGAATATACATTCTTCTTCTCGGTGCACACATTATTCTCAAGGACAAACCATACGTTATGCCACAAAACAAATCTTAAAACATTCCAAAAAACTGAAATAATATCAAGGTTCTTCACTGATCACAATGGAATAAAACTTAAAATAAATATCAAGATAAATTTTGGAAACTCTACAAACATATAGGAATTAAACAATACACTCCTGAGATTAAGGCTGTAAGTCTCTCAGCAAAGAAAAGCCCAAGACACAGTGACCTCACTATTGAAGCTGGAGAAACATTTAAAGAACTAATATCGATTCTACTCAAACTATTCCAAAAAAACAGAGGAGGAGGGAACACTTCTAAATTTATTCTACAAGGTTAGTACACGGCTAGTATTGCCTAATACAAAAAAAGAAAAAAAAAAAAAACAAATATCCCGGATGAATACTGATGAAAAAACATCAACAGAATGCTGGCAAATCAAATTCATCAATATGTTAAAAAGATCATTCATCATGACCCATTGGGATTTATCTCACGGATGTAAGCATGGTTCAACATATGCAAATGAATGTGATATATCATATCAACAGAATGAAGGATAAAATTTATATAGTCATTTCAGTTAATGCTGAAAAAGCATTTGATAAAATTCAAGATACTTTCTTGACAAAAACACTCAAAAAACTGGGTATAGAAGAAACATGCATCAACATAATAAAAAGCCACGTGCAACAGACTGACAGCTAGTATCATACTTAATGGAAAAAACTGGAAGCCCTGCCCTTAAAATCTGGAAAAAGACAAGGATGCCCACTTTCACCACTCTTATTCAACATAGTTCCAGAAGTTCTAGCAAGAGCAATCAGAAAAGAGAAAGAAATAAAGGGCATCCAAATTGGAAACCAATTCAGTTTCCAAAAATTTGTAATTTTTTTTTTTTTCTTTTTGAGACAGTGTCTTGCTCTATCACCCAGACTGGAGCATGATCTCAACTCGCTGTAACCTCCGCCTCCTAGGTTCAACTGATTCTCCTGCCTCAGCCTCCTGAGCAGCTGGGATTACAGGCACGCATCACCACACCCAGCTAATTTCTGAATTTTTAGTAGAGTCAGGGTTTTACCATGTTGGCCAGGCTGGTCTCGAACTCCTGACTTCAGGTGATCTGCCTGCCTCGGCCTCCAAAAGTGCTGGGATTACAGGTGTGAGTCACCGCGCCTGGCTGTTTATTTATTTATTTATTTATTTTTTATCGCTAAGTAGTACCCATGGTATGGATGTTAAAAAGTTTGCTTAGTCTGTTTAAGGGCATCTAAATTGTTTCTAGGTTTTAGCTATTATGAATAAAGCTGCTATGGACATTCACGTTCAGGTTTCCTGTGGGAACATTATTTATTACTCTGCCATAAATGCCGCAGAGTACAACTGCATGTTTAGTATTTTTTGAGAAACCACTTTTTTGTTGTTGTTTTCTAGAGTGGCTGTACCATTCCACATTCTCACCAACAAGGGACGAGTGATCTAGTTTTTCCGCAAGCTCAGCAGCATGTGACGTTGCCACTATATTTTATATTAGCATTCTGATACCTGTGCAGTGATATCTCATAGTTTTCATATGTATTTCTCTGACAGATAATGATGTCGAACATCTTTCCATGTGCTTTTTTGCCATCTGCATATCCTCTTTAGTAAAATGTCTCTTCATGTCTTGGACTCGCTAATTGGATTGTTTCTTTGTTAAGCTGCTGAGTTTTGAACATTCTTTACATATTCCATTTATTGGTCATTTTATCAAACATGTGGTTTGAGAAAATTTGAGTGTGGGCCAGCCTTGCTAGGTTGGTAAAGTTCTCCTGGATAATATCCTGAAGAGCATTTTCTAACTTGGTTCCATTCTCCCCATCACTTTCAGGTACAGCAATCAAACGTAGATTTGGTCTTTTCACATAGTCCCATATTTCTTGAAGGTTTTGTTTCTTTTCACTCTTTTTTCTCTAATCTTATCTTATCGCTTTATTTCATTAATTTGCTCTTCAATCACTGATATCCTTTCTTCTGCTTCATCGAATCTGCTATTGAAGCTTGTGTATGCTTCACAAAGTTCTCATACTGTGGTTTTCAGCTTCAAGAGGTCATTTAAGCTCTTCTCTACACTGGTTATTCTAGTTAGCCATTCATCTAAGCTTTTTTAAGGTTTTTAGCTTCCTTGCGATGGGTTAGAACATGCTCCGTTAGCTCAGAGAAGTTTGTTATTACCGACCTTCGGAAGCCTACTTCTGTCAACTTGTCAAACCCATTCTCCGTCCAGTTTTGTTCCATTGCTGGTGAGGAGTTGTGTTCCTTTGGAGGAGAAGAGGCATTCCGGTTTTTGGAATTTTCAGCCTTTCTGCTCTGGTTTCTCCCCATCTTTTTAGTTTTATCTATCTTTGGTTCTTAATGTTGGTGACCTACAGATGGGGTTTTGGTGTGGATGTCCTTTTTGTAGATGTTGATGCTGTTCCTTTCTGTTTGTTACTTTTCCTTCTAACAGACAGGCCCCTCAGCTGCAGGTCTGCTGGAGTTTTCTAGAGGTCAACTCCAGACCCTGCTTGCCTGGGTATCACCAGCAGAGGCTGCAGAACAGCAAATATTGCTGCCTGATCCTTCCTCTAGAAGCTTCATCTCAGAGGGGCACCTGCCTGTTTGAGGTGTCTGTCAGCCCCTACTGGGAGGTGTCTCCCAGTCAGGCTACACGTGGGTCTGGGACCCCCTTGAGGAGGCAGTCTGTCCATTATTGATGTTCGCACACCATACTGGGAGAAGCACTACTCTCCTCAGAGCTGTCAGGCAGGGACATTTAAGTCTGCAGAAGCCTTTTGTTCAGATATGCCCTGCCCCCGGAGGTGGAATCTAGAGAGGCAGTAGGCCTTGCTGAGCTGTAGGGGCTCTGCCCAGTTCGAGCTTTCCTGCTGCTCTGTTTACACTGTGAGCATAGAACTGCCTACTCAAGCCTCAGCAATGGTGGACGCCCCAACGCCAGCCAAGCTCCAGCATCCCAGGTGGATCTCAGACTGCTGCACTAGCAGCCAGCAAGGCTCCATGGGCGTGGGACCCAAAAGCCAGGCACAAGAGGGAATCTCCTGGTTTGCTGGTTACGAAGACTGTGGGAAAAGCGCAGTATGTAGGCAGAAGTGTACTGCTCCTCCAGGTACAGTCTGTCACAGCTTCCCTTGGGTAGGAAAGGGAAATCCCCAGACCCCTTGCACCCCCCAGATGAGGCGACACCCCATGCTGCTTTGGCTCACCCTCTGCGGGCTGCACCCACTCACCAACCAGTCCCAGTGAGGTGAACCAGTGCCTGAGATGAAAATGCAGAAATCACCCATCTTCTGTGTCTATCTCATTAGGAGCTGTAGACCGGAGCTGTTCCTATTTGGCCATCTTGGAAGCTACCCTACACGATTCCTTATACACAGAAACTTTTATCTACATATATATGCAAATATAGTATTATTGAGAGCATAAATCCAATAAAATATTTGGAGATAACTAATATATAGTACAATGTGGTAAGATGTGAGTTTTTAAAATGACTTTACAGATTTTTTTCAACAAATTTCTTACGTTGCTCAATATGTGGATGACAATTTTGTATATTATTTTCAAGGCCACTTTCATGGTAATAGTCTGGAGGAAAGAGAGAATGTAATAAAATATTCCTAATCTGGGGTCTAAATGCAAAATCATCCTTTGCCTTTCTACTTCCATAAAAACTAAAGACATTCTGAAAAAAGCAATGTGACTTTTGATGCAGACAGGTCCTATAATGACACTTTGAAATACATGAGACTTTTCATACCGTGCTATTTTTCTGTCATTCCTTATTCACTGGCAGTCATATACTCTGTGATTGTCCACAGCCTGGTAATAAGGGGAAAATACTGACTTTCAGACTGAGACTAGACTACTATAGTTATGGTCTAGAGATGACATCTTTCACATTCAGAAACTACGATATGGCACTATTTAATTTTGAATCAGTTGCAAGCAGCACTTTGGCATTTTGTTTTATGCCCGTAGGTAATAAGCCCAAGACAGGAGGTGAGAACAGAAGGGTATTTGCATCCAGATGGTATCTTTCTTTTCTTTTCTTCTTCTTTTTTTTTCCCCCAAGCAGCAGTTTACTTTTAACAATATAAATGGTCTGACACATTGGTGCTTTGACCCAACTTCATTATAACAACTGGCTAAGAAAAAGTAAGGAGCATTCAATCCTTTATTCAGTTTTATTCAGTTAACAGTTATGCACAGTGGTTTGTGGCAGCTGCTGGAGTAGATATTGAGGCCATATAAGCCTCCTTTACAAATGGCAGACTGCTTCTCCTCTTGCAACATTTCCTGTCGAAAAACATTCAGATTTATCTAACACTCTCATTTCATAAATCACATTTTTCCAACATTGCTCATGTTGACAGATTTATTTCCTCTTTAATTATTGGTTATTTTGAAAATGTGTATCCAGATTACATATCACTGTTTCCTCCTTTGCCTTTTATTTTCCTTTGTTTTTCAAATTGAGTGCAGAAGTAACATACTCCCACTCCTCATTTTATGCAATACTGTCAACACCCATCATTATTTCCCCTTTTACCTATAATCTCTAATTATTTTCCTCTCTACTCAATAGATACTCTAATTTATTTACTACATGGCTGTTCAAAATATATAGTGTAGTTTATTTTGTGTATAAAATGTGTTTATTTCTATGAAAATCCTATTTTTAACACTAGTTGTTGAGATCATTCAATAATGTTTTAAGCACAATTAACTTAGAGCTTTTAATGTTATGTAGATATTGTGAAAAATCTCTACCTTATTTTATTTCTATATTTACCTGTTGGTGGACCCCGATGGCTTCTCATTGCCTGCTATCAAAAATGATGCTGAACATTTTGCTACATCCCCTTCTGCTATTTTTTTCTGGTCCACATACATATAGGAATTATTAATAAATCATGGGAAATGTATATTCTTTGTCTCACTGAGTACTGCCTGATCTGCAAGACAGCACTGCCTGCTTTGATTCTTAGCAGCAATGCATTGAGGATTTTTATACATTGCCATTCTTCCATGGGATGTGATATATTTTTTTTCTTTCTAATCCATGCCAAACCTCTCTAGGTAAACTGCTATATCATTGCTTTTATTTACTATTTATCTGACCACTTGAGAGATGCTATGCGTTATCATATTGTCATTCACCACTTAAGTTTTCCTTATATAAATTCCCTTTTTGTACCATTTGCATCTAAAAGTATTAGATTTATTGTCATTTTCTCATTGGTTTGCATAAGTTCTTGGTATATTTTAGTTTATTATCATTTGCTCATTTTGATATTATACATGTTTTTCCACTTGTCAATCGTTTATAATCTTTGCCCATGGTGTTCTTCATTGAAGAATAACTTAAAATTCATATAGTCAAGTCTAACACATAAAATATATAGTTCTTCTGAAACTTATTTAAGAAGTTCCTCCCCACCCCAAATGTCACAAAATAATTCTTCTACATTCCTTCCATAGCTCTCATGTTTCATCTATCAGATTTGTTTTTATATCCATTTGATTTTCATCACTTTCTATGGTAAAATGTACATATATAATGTTGACATTTTAAGTAATAAGCAATTTTTTATCTCTATATTGTAAACAGCATGCCCTTTTCACTTTTGTCATATATGTTATTACAGTGATATATGCTTTAGATTACAGGGTACATCCCTTTTTGATTTTTTATTCAAGCTGGACTTACCTACTTACAGATTTTATACTTTATTATACATTTTAAAAATGCATTTATTGTCTCAAAAACATACATTTTCTTAGTTCCTTCTGTTCCACTTTTGTCCATTTCACTAATAGTTAATTACTTTAGTTAAATAATTTTTGTATTGTATTACAAAATATTTTCTGCATTTTGCTTTATTCATTGAACAATGCCTTCAGTCCCTCTAAACTCAGTCAACTAACAAAGGTTTGATGTATCATCTCATTTACATATTGGTTGATTTAATCTGCTAACATATTGTGTACAGTTTTGTTCATTGATTTCCATGATGCAAACTTTTAGTTAATTTTGTTTATTATAGTGTTTGTCTCAGGTTTTGGCAACTACTTGTAAAACAAATCTGGGATTGTTTCACAATTACTATTCTCTTGAAAAGTTTAAGGTTAATGTTAAGTCTTCTTAAACATTTGGAATAATTCACCATAAAATCTATTTGGGAAGGTTAGAAATAATGGATATACTTTAAAAATAGGAAATAGGTTTTTATCTTAAGGCTTAACAGGGATTGTTCCACTTATTTTGTCCATTTTGTTTTTCCAAAAATTTAGTCATTTTATTTAAATGTCAAATTTATTGGGATAAGGCTGTTAATAAAATCATATTATCACCTTTTCTCTGTATGATTATATTGATTTCCTTGTTTTGATACCTGATACTGCTGTTCTGTATTTTTCTCTATTATTTCTTCACCAATACTGAAAATATGTTATCAAATGCATTAATCTTTCCAAGAACCTATTTCTGTCTTTGTTATTTTTCTCTATTTCTGATTTTCTTTCTACATTTTTGAAATTTGATAAACTTTGTACTTTCATGCATCTTGAGTTGGAAACTTTGATCATTTTTATCATATTTTTATATCAATAAATGCCACTAGAGTCTTCGAAATCAATGATGAATAAATGAGTCTTTGTCTCTGTATTAGTCTGCTGTCATCTGGAGAACAGACTAATAACCAAAATACCAGAGACTGGATATTTCATAAAGAAAAACAGTTTAATGGACTCACATTTCTGCATTGCTGGGAAGCCTCAGGAAACTTACAATCAGAGCAGAAGGTGAAGCAGGAGCAAAGGCCCATCATACATGGTGGCAAGAAGGAGAGCATGTGTAAGCACAGGAAAAACTACCATTTATAAAACCATCCGATCTTGTAAGAATTCACTCCCTATCATGAGAACAGCATGGGGGAAACCACCTGGATTATCCAATCACTTCCAACCAGGTCTCTTTCTAAACACCTGTGGGTTACAATTCAAGAAAAAATTTGGTGGGGGGGACACAAAGTATAACCATATCATTCCACCCCTGGCCCCTCCTAGATCTTATATCCTCACATTTCAAAACCAATCATGCCTTCCCCAACGGTCCCCCCAAAATCTTAAATCATTTCAGCATTCACACAAACTCCATAGTCAAAAGTCCCATCTGAGACAAGACAAGTTTTCAAAACTAACCATGCCTTCCCAACAATTCCCTGAAGTGTTAACTCATTCCAGTATTAACTGAAGAGTTCACAGAGTAAAGACAAGGCAAGTCCCTTCTACTTATCAGCCTGTAATATCAAAGGCAAGTTAATTACTTCTTAGATACAATGAGGATAAAGGCACAAAACCTTTTTTCCCTCCTAGGCCTCTGGGCCTGTGATGGGAGGGGCTGTCATGAGGTCTGTAACATACCCTGGAGACATTTTCCCCAACGTCTTGGAAGTTAACATTTGGGCTCTTCATTACTTATGCAAATTTCCACAGAGGGCTTAAATTTTCCCCCAGAAAATGGGTTTTTCTTTTCTACTGCATTGTCAGGCTGCATATTTTCCAAACTTTAATGCTCTGCTTTCTCCTGAACACTTTGCCACTTAGAAATTTCTTACGCCAGATGCCCCAAATCATCTTTCTCATGTTCGAAGTTCCACAGATCTTCGGGACAGGGGCCAAATGCTGCTAGTCTCTTTGCTAAAGTATAGCAAAAGTCACCTTTGCTCCAGTTTCCAAGAAGTTTCTCATCATCACTTGAGACTACCTCAGCCTGGAATTCATTATCCATATCACTATTAGCATTTTGGTCAAAGCCATTTGACATGTCTCTAGGAAGTTCCAAACATCCCCACATCTTCCTGTCTTCTTCTGAGCCCTCCAAACTGTTCCAAACTCTTTGCCTGTTAGTTCCAAGGTCGCTTCCACATTTTGAGCTCTCTCTATAGCAGCACCCCACTCTCTGTAGTACCAATTTACTTTATCAGTCCATTCTCTTGCTGCCATGAAGAATACCCAAAACTAGGCATGTTATAAAGAATAAGGGTTTAATGGACTCACAGTTATGCATTTCTGGGGAGGCCTCAGGAAACTTATAATCATGGCAGAAGGCGAAAGAGGAGGAAAGGTACATCTTCCATGATGGTAGGTGGGAGAGCATGTGTAAGCACAGGAAAAACTACCATTTATAAAGCCATCAGTTCTCATGAGAATTCACTCCCTATCACGGGAATATCAAGGGGAAACCACCCCCATAAACCAGTCAGTTACCACCAGGTCTCTCCCTAAACACTTGGGGACTGCAATTCAAAATGAGATATGGGTCGAGACACACTAATCATGTCATTCCCTCTCCTTAGCATGCTTATTATTTTTTGGGAAAGAATGTCACTTAATAATGCTTGCCCACCAGAGCAAGAAAAGTCTGATCTCTAACTACAATGAATGGAATGATAAATCCCTGAAACTGATCTCACTTACAAATATAATAGGTGGTAGGGATGTTACTGGGAGTTTTATATCTATTTTAATTTATTCACAAAACAGAAAGGTAGAATTATATAATTGTCAAGGTATTTAAATTTTTGAAAAGGTAAGTAATTTTCCCAGTGTAACATTTTTTTTAAATGTGTACACTGGGTTTTGGACATGAGTGTGCTTCTAAATGGTTCTTTCAATTTAATTATGCAATATTTGCATTGATGACATATATTGTCTTCAAGAATATATGTGAGTGTATTTCAATAAAATGGCTTTTAATTGCATGTTATAATTCATATGTTCTAACTGCATTTCATTAATCTTGTCTGGGCATCATACAGCTGTTTTCTAAGAAAAGATATTTAGAAGAGATTCATATTAGCGGTAAGAGAAAAAAATGCAGCCAGATATTGGAAAATGGCATACATTATCCGTTAGATAGACTAAGGGTTTTACGGCATCAGCAATTAGATGAAATAAGTACATGAATTAATTAGTGAACTTATAATTAATCAGCTTAAGACCTTAGTCCTCCATACTAAAACTTCAACTTGACCATATGAGACATTTTATTTCTTTAGTACACTCTTGGAGGGACGTTGTACATTAAATAGAACAGTGCTCACAATGCCAAGCAGAGCTTTGCATTATAAGGCAGAGAGTTTTTTGAAAGAGCACTCCAGTAAACCAGTGAATAATAAGAGACATTGCATTCCTTATGATGGTAAAGTGAACAGATACATCCTAAGTCTGCAGATCCTGGTTTGTTTCTGTCTTCTGAGCACTGTGTTGGCTGCTACAAAATGCAGCACCATGTTTGTAATGTGATAAACTCAAGTGGCCAAAAAACATCTGGTATACAATTGCAGCAAAAAAAAGTTACATATACTTGTTGCAAGAGGGGAAATCAAACACCATAGAAAACTATGGGAAGTCAATATAAGAGTACATTACAATGGGCTTTTAACTAGGACTGTGCTGTCTTTCTGATAGGGGTTAAGGAAGCAGGTACATCTGTCCTGGATTGTCTGCTGTCAGAAAACAGAGGCAAATGTAAATGTGTGTGTGTGTGTGTGTGTGTGTGTGTGTGTATTACATTTACCTGAAACAATATTTTCTTATTAAATATAGTACAAATATGAAAATTGGGAAATTAACACCTATAGTGATATTATATAATGTACAAATCTTATTTGTATTTTATCAGTTGTTTCAAGAATGTCCTTTATAACAAAAGCAAACTCAAAATCAGATCCAGAATCCAATCCAATCCAATCTATGATCATACATTGCATTTAATTGCCATGTCTCTCCTTTGACTCTCAGTCTGGAACCTTTTTTGTCTTCATGACCTTAACATTTTAGAGAGTAAATATTAGCTATTTTGTAGAACAGTCCTCAATTTGAGCTTCTCTGATATATCCTCATAATAAAGGCTTTTTTTGGTCTTTATCAGGAATGCCAGGAATTCAGACTGTGCCCTTCCCAGTGCATCATAGCTAGAGGCACTCAATGGCAGTTTATCCCATTAATGAGGTTAACTTTTTCATTCGTAGAAGGCAGCATCTCCCAGGTTTCTCTACTGTAATATTATTTTATTCATTGTAATTTATAAGTATTTTATGGAAAAGTCGTTTGGGAATATGAAAATACCCTGTTTCTCAACAAACATTAACAAACATTATTAACATATTAATGATTGTTCTTTTAATTAAGTAATCAAGTATGTTACAAAAAGTAATGATTTTTCTAACACCATTTTTTCTTCTGCATTTACTTCTTGCTATTCTACTATAAATACAATTTTTTCCTCTCTTACTGCTTAAATTGCCCAATTAATTAAATATTAAGTAATTACATGATTATTTAGAATATAAAGGACTTAGCATATAATTAGGCAATCAACTAGTGAGAGAAAAATCAAATCACAAATTATTAAGTAATTAATTTCTATTTCTACAGGCTAATGACGTCTATTAAATGGGTTAAAATCCATTTACTGTTAATATTTATTCTGATGATGGAAATATCCCACATCTGGTTCCTGTGTCTTTTCAAGATGTACCAATTCACTCTTTAAAGATCTACTTACTTCTGATTCTTATTATGCTGGAGCTCTGTGGATGTAGTGGTAAGATGAAGGGGTAAGATGTAGGGGAGGATATGAGGTGACTAGTTTGACACAAAGGAGAAGAAAGGAGAGTTTTAAATAGGAAAGACTAAATTGGTATAGCAATACAAACTTCTCAGTTCTCTGTAAGTTAAAAGAATAATAGAGTACAGTACTCAAAGACAACTTTCATCACATGGCTATTAAATATAGGAAATTGTTGGCTTGGTCAGCCATCTTATATTCCTTCATGTAAACAGCCTGTAGTATATTGCTTTAGTTGATTCATTAATATTTTCATAAATATAACAACTATTGAATATCAGATACTATGCCAAGCACAACACGGTAATTTATTTATTTCAAGTTTCTGAAACAAATTGGTTATATGAAATTGACTAAACTCTAAATATGAAAAGTGTGTTGTAATCCAATCACAGTAACACAACTGGTAAACAGATTTGATACCTAAATCTTTATATTCTTACTCAAGTTCTCTTTTCAGCACTAGTGTTAAGTATTTTCTATTTATATTCATATATTTATATTGAAAGAATTAAATTTTAGTTTTTAATATTTATGTGGTTAATGAAAAGCATCTTGGAAGCTATTAAGCATACTAGTTACACAGCGAGACTTGATTTTTTTCTGTCTAATGAGTAAGCAGGATCTAGCTCAAAGGTTAGCATATATTATCCACTGAATAAGTATACATAAAATCACTACAATCATTAATAAAACTCATAGTTTTTGGTAAAAATTTAAATTGATTAATACAATGGCAGCTTGCATTTTTCTTACTGACTGTGTAATACAAATGCAATAAGGAAGCCCCACAGAATGTGGAATTTCACAGTGCATGTCTAAATATTTTTGCCACCTGCAGTCACGAATATATCATTCTATGGAGATTATAAATGAAACACACAAATGAATAAGTTAGCATTGAAAAAAGATGCATAATTTTTACCCTATAAAAGCCAATAAAATTATTTTTATTGTTCTTTTGTTTCATATATTTTAAATATTCACAAAATAGCAAAATTCCTCCCAGATGGTAAACACCTTCAGGAAATCTCTGGGTTTTATTAAATTTGGAATTTAAAGTAAACTCTGCCTTCAAAGAATCCAGATGTCCAAAAAAGCTTATAATTTGCCATAACATTCTTATGGGACAATTAGTGACTCAGTCTCCTGAATAAGATATCAGAAATAAGTATTATTAGAATCATTAAAAAATCTTTGTGTATGCAAGCCAGTTCAGTTAAATGACAACATTTTCTGGTATTAGAGTTCAGTTAAGTGATAACATTTTCCGGTATTAGCAATAACCTTTGCTGTAACAATGACTTTAAATCTGTTTCTTATGACTATATCCATTAAAATAAAACACTCTAAATTTCTAAATACCCACACTAATTTTATCCTAAATTTCGTATGTAAATATAAAAAAAAGTGTTTCTATATTTTTGGGGCATTCTAAGATGATCTCTGAATTGAACTTTCAGTCATCTTTCCCCAGGGGTAAAGAAAGAATTCCTCTGAGAGTCTACTCATTCTGACCCTGGCCCTATTAATTAATCAATCAAAAATCAATCAGTTAACCAGCCAGTCATTTACTCAGTTAGCTAGGAAGTCAGTAACCTGGAGGTTATGCACTGCCAACTATAAATTCATAATAGTGACAGGTTTAGGGTGACAAATAAAAATTAGGAAACGTTATCTTTACATTATTTGTTGTACACATGTATAAATAAGATGTACATATGGAGAAGAAAAAAGAGCTAAATTTATAGAATAATCTTTATATGCCTTGAGGGTTAAAGAAGATGGAGATCAATATAGGCTGGAATAAACTAGAGATCAATATGGGCTGACATAAACTGGAGAACTAGAGAAGAAAACAAAAGCTAAATTTATAGAGTAATCTTTATATGCCATGAAGATTCAAAGAAGATATAGATCAATATGGACTAGAATAAACTAGAGAAAATTAATGGAAATGGAGAAACTCTAAGGAATTGAAAGGATTTTAGGATATACAATAAGAAAGGAAATAAGATTACAATGACTAGGTTTTAGATCCTAAGGGTAGTACTCATGGAACTCTCTCACAGTAAGTAGGTCCAATATTAACATTGAGAATTATATGAAGACTAAATTTGCGAAACAGAAGTCTCTTAGTAACGACCTTGTGCTATAGGTTGAAGGTTTTATGGAGAATGTGTATACCCAACCAACAGTAACTATTATAAAGAAACATCAGAAAAATAATTCCATCATTCATTCTTTTGTTGAACAAATTCTGAGTATTTATTCTGTGCCAGATAATCTTCTATGTTCTCAAGACAGAGAAGTGAGCATGAGAGGATTTCTGTGGCTTCACAGAACTTACATTTTGGTGAGGTGAGAAAGAAATCTCAAGTAAATTATATAGTATATGGGCTGGTAAAAAGGGCCATGAATAACAGAAAGTGGACAAAGGGTAGGAAGTACAGGTGGGTTAAGTGCAATTTTAAGCAGATTTGTAGGAGCAGCCTCACTGAATAGATAGCATTTTGAACAAATAACTGAAGAGGGCAAGGGAGTGACTCCTGTAGAATTTTGGAGATATCTGGAGAAAACACAGTAAGGCAGATAAGAAATGCGAAGACTCAGATACAGCAGCCTGCTTGGAGTATCCGAGTAATAGCAAGGAAACCAGTGGGAAATGAGCCAAGAGAGTGAGGCACAAGGAGAAACAAATGAGACCCGTGAGGTGATGAGACGTGTTGTAGAGAAGCAGTAGCAGTTCACGAGGGACTTAGTAGTTAATTGTAAAGGTTTTTACTTTTATGCTAATGAAATAAAAAGCCACTGTAAGATTTTGAGCATAGATGTGACATTATGATATTATCTGACTTATAATAAAGACAGTAGTCACTGCTACTGACCCAAGTATTGATAATAACCTGCTTTAGATTGCAAAGAACAGAAGGAGAAGATCAGTCAAGAGGCTTTTGCAATAATCTAGAGGAAAGAAAATGAGGCTAGGAAAAGGATGGTAGCAACTGATTTAATAAGAAATCATATTCTAGAGGTTAGTACTTGCTGATTGAGTGCATGAGGTTAAGCAAGAAAGAGTGGGGTGGCTCCCAGATTTTGAGCCTTAGCAACTGGCAAAAGACCGTTGGCATTCACTAAATGGAAAAGATTTACTGGAACATCGATGCATAATTAACAGTTTCATTTTGGACATGTTAAATCTGAAATATGGATATGATCCCTAAGTGGTTGAGACCAACTTGGATATATAATTCTAAAATTCAAAAGAGAGATATGGGCTAGTGATAATCATTTGTGACTACTCACCATAAATGGCATTTTAAGGAATGAAATCCATGATATTCAGAGAAGACAATAAAAATAAGTGAGCTCTCAAGACTCCTCACCCAAGTCTCTACAAAATTATTAGGTTCAATCAGGTAGAACTAGTGATGGAAGACTAGAGGTAGAAATTAAACAAAGTATAGTACCCTAAAAAACAAAATCAAAAACAATTTTGAAGGAAAGAATGAAGAACTGAGGACTATATCTGGTGAATTTGCAGTCACTAAATGATTTGAAAAAATCAATTTTGGTGGAATGCTGGGGGCAAAAGATAGAACAAAAGGCATAAAGAAAGATTGAGATGAGAGGAATTGTAAACGGTAGGTTTACGGAAATCTTTCAAGACCTTTTCGTATGAATGATAGCAGAGAACTGGAATGAAAACTGGAGATAAGAAAGCTGATTCTAGATCTCTGAGAAATAGCCACACCTGGACTTAATATCTAGTTGATGGTTGATGGGTGCAGCAATCCACCATGGCACACGTTTACCTATGTAACAAACCTACACATCCTGCACATGTGCCCCGGAACTTAAAATAAAAATAAAAAAATACACAGATATATTAACGATTTTAAAAAAGAAAATTGATGACACATGAGAAGATGGAGACTTGCTAGTTTAAAGTTCTCAAGTAAGGTAAGAAACACAAAGCCTAGGTGCAATGGCTCACACCTATAATCCCGGCACTTTGGAAGGCCGAGGCAGGCCAATCACTTGAGTCCAGGAGTCAGAGATCAGCCTGGACAACATGGCAAAACACTGTCTCTACACAAGTATACAAAAATTAGCTGGGCGTGGTGGTGCCTGCCTGTAGTCCCAACTCTTCAGGAGGCTGAGATGGGAGGATAACCTGTGCCCAGGAGGTCACCAGTATGGGTGACAGAGAGACCCTGTCTCAAAAAGAAAGAAAAAAAGATGATTTGGTACATAGGTAGATAGTTTTTTAGGAACAAAAGGGAAAACACATATGAAAGTTGATTTATAAATATGGTAGTAAGAATTTGATGTAATTCTTAACTAATTGAATTTTTTTTTCCAGTGAAATAAGAATGGTCATCTTCTGTGAATGAGACTAAAAGAAGATGTTAGGTGAATAAAGAGAGAAAAGTATAAAAGAGTCATTTGGTTGAGAAGAATGTATTACACAGTTGAACACGAAAAGCCTATTTAGGACTGATGGCCATAAATACATAGGGAGGCCAGACCACATACTGCCATGTTTTCCTTCAGATAAGCTCATTGGCTTGGGAGTAGAGGTGCAGTAGTCAGATAATTGGTCTTTTTCTAATGGAGAACTTGGAAACGAGAGAAGGATAAGGCAATTGAGGGTGTATGAATGAACCATATAATTTAAGCCAGGAATGGATGTGGAAAAACATTATGGAGTCCTGAGGGCTGAAAATATAACTAAAGGGTACATCCTGATGAAGTCTAAGCATTGTTCAAATTTCAGAATGAGAGGGAGATAGCAGCAAAGTAGGAGATGGAAATCAATAAAGGGGATGATTGCAGTAGAGATTATGTAAGGTTTCAGGTTTTGGCAATGGGACAAGTTCTAGGTATGACTATGTGGATGAAGCACTGAGTTTGGTTTAAAGAGAAAGTCACTGCAGAAGAGCTGAGGGAATTGAGAGGCCAGAAAAGGGGGACAATCAGATAGATAGATAGACAGACAGACAGACAGACAGACAGACAGACAGATAGATATTTGGCATGGATTGTGATAAGAAGTGCAATGAAAAAAGTATGATATTTAATGCTGAAAGCTACAATTCACAATGGAGATATAACAGTTGTGCACTGAATAATACGGTAGCTGTTTTTAAAGCAAGAAACTATTGGAAATGCAAAGAGAAATAGGTAGAAACACATTAACAAGGAGATATTTTAACACACCACTCTGAGTATAAGAAAGGTCAAGTGGCCAAAAATATATGTGAGAATAAAGAAGGCCTAAATCCCATGATCAAGAACATAATTATTAGGAAGGTTGACTAACTACCTATTTATCTATTTAGATCTTTATAATATATTAGGTCACAAAGAAAGCATAAGTAGCATAAAGTCGAATAATTAAAATAAAACTCTCTGATTGCAATGTAATAATATTTAAAATTAATAACAGAATTTTTAAAAGACTTCAACATGGAAATTTTAAAAAAATCCTATTAAACAATACCTGGATTTATGGCTGAAACAGAACATATATATGAAAGTTACACAACTGTGGAAAATAACACCTCATACCCAAACATATGGGAAACATTTAAAGCACTGAGCAAAATAAAGTTTATAGCCTTCAGTATGTTTAGTACTTAAACAGAAACAATGAAAATGAATAAATTAAATTCCCAAATTAAAATCAGAAGCAGAACAATAAATAAACCAATGGAATCCAAAACAAAGGAAATAAGATAAAAGCAGAAATTATGAGATAGAAAACAGAAAATTGAAAGCTTAAATTATCATATCAAAATGCTGGTCCCTGAAAAATTTAATACTGCATACAAACTATAACTTAATGTATTCAGGTGAGAAAAAAGCATAAATAAGTACAATGATACAAAACGTAAAACTACAATGGAAAGCCAGGCGAGGTGGCTCATGCCGGTAATCCCAGCACTTTGGGAGGCCGAGGCGGGTGGATCACAAGGTCTGGAGTTCGAGACCAGACTGGCCAAGATGGTGAAACTCCATCTCTACTAAAAATAAAAAATTAGCCGGGCATGGTGGCGGCCGCCTGTAGACCCAGCTACACAGGAGGCTGAGGCAGGAGAATTCCTTGAACCTGGCAGGCGGAGGTTGCAGTGAGCCGAGATCGTGCCACTGCACTCTAGCCTGGGCAACAGAGCGGGACTCAATCTCAAAAAAATAAAATAAAATAAAAAATAAAATAAAAAAAATACAATGGAAAAATAACTATTGTAACAACACAAACATACAAAATGACTTTATTTTGAACACTGTATGCAGAGAGATTTGAAAGGTTAGATGACATTTAACCTTTATCCTTAAACAGGGAAACACAGTTCATGAAATTAACTTCTTCATCAGAGATAGAAAGCTTAGATGAACTTATACAGAAGAAATAGACTTTGACAAAATAATCAGACCCAGATGGTTTTTCAAAGACTCTACCCAACCTTCAAAAAAGATACTTCCAAATGCTACATAAGTTGTTCCAGAGCATAGAAGCTAAAAAAAAGGAGAGAAAATTCCAACTTCTTTTTAGCAACAAACACATAATATGAATATCTAATTCAGATAAAGGTGCCATAAAAGAAGAAAATTACCAAACAACATTACCTACAAATATCATGTCAAATGTCCTAGATAAAATTTTAGCTAGCAGAATTCAACATTACATGAAAAAATGATAATACATAAACAATTAGGATTTATTTATGTAATGCAATGCCAGTTAAATATTGGAAAACCCATTAACATAATATACCACAGTGTGATAATAAGAAATACATATTTAGTCTTTGTTCCTAGTTTCTAACACAGAACTTCTAAGCCCTCTGAATTTCCTGATTGATGAGGTGAGAGGAACCCCTTTTGTTATACACAATAAACCCCTTTCCGCCATATCTGAGCTCATGATAAGAAGGTGACTCTTGATGGGCCCCTATATAGCCCCAGCATAGACCGGGTTGCAAGAAGAACGAACAATATAATTAGAGAGTTGGAACTTTCTGCCATACTCCCCAACCTCCAGGGAGAAGAGAGGGACTTGAGATTGAGTAATCACCAAGAGCCAATGATGTAATCAATCATGCTTCCTAATAGAACTTCCATAAAAACCCTACACAGTGGGGTTCAGAGGGCTTCTACATTGGTGAACACATGGAGGTTTGGGAGGGTGGTGTGCATGCAGAGGTACCCCTTGCCACATACCTTGCCCTATGTGTCTCCTTCATTTGGCTGTTCCTGAGCCACATAATTTATAATCAACTGGTAATAGGAAGTAAACTGCTTTCCTGAGCTATGTGAGTTATTTTATAAAATCCTGGAACCCAAGAAGGGTATCCTGAGAACCCTTGATTTTTTTTTATTATTTTTATTTTTTTTGTTTTTATTTTTTTCTTTTGTTATTATACTTTAAGTTTTAGGGTACATGTGCACATTGTGCAGGTTAGTTACATATGTATACATGTGCCATGCTGGTGTGCTGCACCCACTAACTCGTCATCTAGCATTAGGTATATCTCCCAATACTATCCCTCCCCACTCCCCCCACCCCACAACAGTCCTCAGAGTGTGATGTTCCCTTTCCTATGTCCATGTGATCTCATTGTTCAATTCCCACCTATGAGTGAGAATATGCGGTGTTTGGTTTTTTGTTCTTGCGATAGTTTACTGAGAATGATGATTACCAATTTCATCCATGTCCCTACAAAGGACATGAACTCATCATTTTTTATGGCTGCATAGTATTCCATGGTGTATATGTGCCACATTTTCTTAATCCAGTCTATCATCGTTGGACATTAGGCTTGGTTCCAAGTCTTTGCTATTGTGAATAGTGCCGCAATAAACATACGTGTGCATGTGTCTTTATAGCAGCATGATTTATAGTCCTTTGGGCATATACCCAGTAATGGGATGGCTGGGTCAAATAGTATTTCTAGTTCTAGATCCCTGAGGAATCGCCACACTGACTTCCACAATGGTTGAACTAGTTTACAGTCCCACCAACAGTGTAAAAGTGTTCCTATTTCTCCACATCCTCTCCAGCACCTGTTGTTTCCTGACTTTTTAATGATCGCCATTCTAACTGGTGTGAGATGGTATCTCATTGTGGTTTTGATTTGCATTTCTCTGATGGCCAGTGATGGTGAGCATTTTTTCATGTGTTTTTTGGCTGCATAAATGTCTTCTTAGAAAACCTAGGCAATACCATTCAGGACATAGGCATGGGCAAGGACTTCATGTCTAAAACACCAAAAGCAATGGCAACAAAAGCCACAATTGACAAATGGGATCTAATTAAACTTAAGAGCTTCTGTACAGCAAAAGAAACTACCATCAGAGTAAACAGGCAACCTACAAAATGGGGGAAAATTTTCACAACCTACTCATCTGACAAAGGGCTAATATCCAGAATCTACAATGAACTCAAACAAATTTACAAGAAAAAAACAAACAACCCCATCAAAAAGTGGGCGAAGGACATGAGAACCCTTGATTTATAGCTGGTTGGTCACAAGTATAGGTAGCCTAGGATTTGCGATTGGCATCTGCAGTAGGGACAGTCTTGGGGACTGACTGAGCCCTTAACTTGTGGGATCTGACACTAACTCCAGGTAAATAGTGTCAGAATTAAATTAATTGTAAGATGCCCAGCTTGTGTCCCAGAATTGGTTGATGTGGGAATAAACTCTGCACACTGAGTGTCAGACGTGTGAGGAAAAACAAGTCATACATATTAACAGACCTAAAAAAAATCTTTATTTGACTTATAAGAGCTTTTTACAAACTCAACATTGCTTCTTTAGAAAAGTTAAAAATTAAGAATTAATGGATGCTTTCTTACGTAATATAATACCTTTAAGTTGATCATTATCCCAGAATCTTAATTAATGGAGAATAACTAAAGTATTTTCACTTATATGGGGAAAAAATAGTATGCACACTATTTTTACTACCACTGATAATTCTTCCTGAGGTATCAGCAAATTTAAGTAGGAAAAAATCCATTAGAATCTTAACTGCAAAAGAAATATTAACCAATTTTTATTTGCTGAAGATATTATTATATACCTAGGAAACCCAGGAGAATCAATGAAAATTTCTCACCATTTTAAGTAACGATAAAAATTCAACAAGGTAGCAGGAGATAAAACTAACTTACGTAAGTCAATAGCCTTCATAGATTTCACAAATAATAAGTAGATAGATGATATAATGATAGAGAAAACCCCATTTACAATTGCAGTGCACAAGATAATGTAGTTAGAAATAATAGGAAATTTGCAAAACCTATATGAGGTAAACTATAAAGCGCTACTCTAAGTCACAGGTATAATCTTGGGCAAATGGACATAGCCCCTGCTCCCAAGGGAAACAACTCAATATCATGAAGACATTAAATTTTCTTATGATCATTTATAAAATTCATGAAATCCACAGAAAATATCAATAGACTATTTTTAGACACAGTCAACCGATACTAAGTTTATATAAATAAGCATGTAATAATAGGCAAACACTATTATAGATTTAAAACTACAAGGATTGCAGGATGGGAGCTCCTACCCTACAATATATTGAAATTATATATATATACATATATATTTTGGAGAAAGAGTCTTACTCTGCTGCCCAGGCTGGAGTACAGTGGCTCGATCTCAGCACACTGCAGCCTCCACCTCCCGGGTTCAAGTGATTCTCCTGCCTCAGCCTCCAGAGTAGCTGGGATTACAAGAGTGTGCCACCACGCCCGCCTACTTTTTGTATTTTTACTAGAGATGGGGCTTCACCATGTTGGCCGGGCCTGGTCTTGAACTCCCGACCTCAGGTGATCCACCCACCTCGGCCTCCGAAGTGCTGGGATTACAGGTGTGAGCCATGGCACCCGGCCAAGAATGTTGTTTTAATCTTCACTTCTGACTATATTAATATTGCTGATCTTATCAGGGCATTTATATTTTATCTTCTGTAAGCCAGTCATATTATTTTAGTGGGGCATGAGAATTTTCCCCAATTGATATATGCAAGCTTTATATAGTACTTTAACATTCACATGTCAACTTATTTGTGAATATTTTTTCAGTCTATAGGTTTTGGTTATTATAGTACAGACACTGTCACATCCATTGATGTTTTCCTTTCTTTCATTTCTTTGATGCTTTTTCTTTTTCTTAAAGGCATTCTTCAATCAATATTAGATAATCACCTATATTTTTCTAGTGTTGAATGTCATAGATAAACTTATACTCTGATCCATCTGGAATTTATTTTGATATGCAATATGATGAAAGGTTATCAAAATATGTTTTCCACGTGGCTAGTGACTGTTCTAAATTCAATGTATTTTAAACACTTTATCAATTCATTTTGCCTTTTACTCTCATCTAAGAAATACAGGCATCAAAGTTCAAATAAAGAATTGTGCAATGTAGGCCAGGCGTGGTGGCTCATGCCTGTAATCCCAGTACTTTGGGAGGCCAAGGCAGGCACATCGTCAGGTCAACAGGTCGAGACCACCCTGGCCAACATGGTGAATCCCAGTCTCTATGAAAAATAGAAAAATTAGCTGGGCATGGTGGTGCGTATCTGCAGTCCCAGCTACTCGCTACTTGGAAGGCCGAGGTAGGAGAATCACTTGAACCCAGGAGGCGGAGCTTGCAGTGAGTTGAGATCATGCCACTGCACTCCAGCCTGGGCAACAGAGTGAGAGTCTGTCTCAAACAAACAAACAAAAAAAAAAATTGTGTAATTGTGTAAAGTAAAAAGTAAAACTACCTTTCATGTTCTTAATTCCAATATCCTGAGATAACCATTTTAAACACACTATGCGTATTCCTAATCGTTCTTAGCATATTCTTTCCTGCACATACAGTTATTTCCACCCTTAACTAGGGTCAATTTCTGACTCACATTATCTTTTCATCTGACTTGATCATAATTAGCAAAAGTAGTAAAAAAAAAATACCTTTGTAAAATTTGATAAAATTTGAACCAGCCTAAAGATACAAAGGATTTAGATATATGGATGGCTGTGTTAATTATTAATGGTCAAGTAGGAATTCTAATGTTTTTGGCCAGAGGCCATTACAAAGCTTCTTGAACAAAGACATATATAATTCAATCCTTAGCAACAGCTAGGAAGGTTCAGAGAGAGTAGAGTTAGAAAGAAATTCTGAATATAAAAACATACAACCTTCTACAATCAGAAATTATTCAGGTCCAGCCATCCTGATATTAATAATGGGGTGTCATAAAAGATGATAATCCATATTTTACCACTTCCTGCCCCCTCATTCCCATATAACTCCCTGTCCTCTAAGAATACTTCCAAAACATATTAAAGCCCCATAGCAGCCAGGCACGGTGACTCATGCCTATAATCCCAGTATGGTGGGAAGCTCAACCAGGCAGATCGCTTGAGCCCAGGAGTCTGAGAACAGCCTGGGCAACATGATGAAACCCCGGTTCTACAAAAAAAAAAATGAAAAATTGGCTGGGTGTAGTCACGTGCACCTGTAGTCCCAGCTACTTGTTACTTGGGAAGCTAAGGTGAAAGGGTCTCTTGAGCCCAGGAGGTCGAGGCTGCAGTGAGCCATGATTGCGCCACTGCCTTCCAGCCTGGGGAAAAAAGCAAGACCCTGTCTCAAAAAAAAAACAAAAAACAAAAAACAAACAAACAAAAAACTTTAATAAAGCCCTAGGCTTTATGCACACTAATTCATTGTTTCACAGTCATCTTTCCCTCAAAGATGCTTCTATTTTTCTGCTATGATTTTTAGCTGCTTCTTATACTTCACCAGCCTTCTCAGCTTATGAGGAGATTAGTTCCTTGTTGGTCAAATTTGTTCCATGTTTAGCTTTGTCATTTCCGGAGCTTTACCTTGCTAACTCTTGTTGAAATTTATTGTAAAGAGTATTCAGTGAAAGCGGCAGGAAAAATGAATACTTCCTCTAACATTTTTCACTACACACTGATGAAAGGGACCACAGGGATGTACTGTTTGTGGAACAAATTTTTTCTGCTAAACCAGTAGAGTTTCTGCCAAACTGACAATGAAATTAGATATCATCACCCCCTTGAGCTCTTCTGTGTAGCTGGAGCAGAAGAGGATTCTAACTAAAGAATATTTACAAAACTTCTTTACATCCTAGAGATTTCGGTCTGCACCAGTATTGATTGTTTGCGTAAGGCCCAAAGCCTGTGGGAATGAACTCAGACTCAAAACTGAGGCCTCAGAAATATACAGACCTGTCTGATGGTCACTAACAAAAAAATTTAAAAAAAAACACAATACCATATCACAGAACATAGACCATCACCTGGCACAGAGCAGGTGCAAGCTAAATGTGGGATGATTATATATGAGTCAGCAACTCCCTCCCCTAAAACTCCTAAGGCACATACCAGCTCACATAGGACCCTTAAAGTGATGAAAAATATGTGCCACACAATCATTATTGGGGACGTTCGAGAATATTTGAGATTGAGGGTTAAAGAAGAACTTCAAATTTTTGCTAGGTGATAAGGTAAGTGCTCAGAACATCAAGATTAACAAATATGCCACACTAGTGTGAATGGGCAAAGTATTGAATACTTGGGTGATTTTAATGAAAGAGTTTTGTAATGTTTGCTTATGGCTCTCTCATTCCTTTGAAAAACACAGGAGTAACCAGTGGTCTTTGTCAGAGAACAAATTCAAACCAAACTGCTAGACTCTTGTACTCCAATGGTTACTGACCTCCAGTAACTAAAGCTTTGGTACTAGGTATAGTTAATCATACCTAGTTATTTCTTCTCTTAGAATCACTTCTCTCCCGCAAAAAGCTGCTCTGTCCCCTGAGAGAAAACATATGTGGAAGCATGCCACCACTTCACACGCCTAGATACAGCCCAATAGAGATACAGCTCATGTTTTGTTCCCAAAATTGTCCCCAATCATAAGAAGAATGGCATCTGTTGGGTCTGGCCCAGCCATTCACCAAATACAAAGTCTGCAGTAGATATCAGAAGGCTATGCTATAAATCAAGCTGAAGTTCCTGTTCTATATGAACCATTTCAAAACTAGTTATATAAAACCAATTAATGTGAATAATTAATTAAAATGTCAAGAATACAAAGCTCTGATTTTGAAGAAATACTGATAAGAGACATTTTGCTAAATTATCATTCAATAAACACACATCGAATTTCTATGCTGATTTTATCACTACTTAACGAAGTTTATAATTATGGGAAAGAAGTCTAATGATGGAGTGACCATATGTCCCAATTTGCCCTGTATATAATCTCAGGTTACATATGATGTTCCAGGCTAATTAGTTTCATGCTTCAAAGTGTCCCACTCTGGATAGCAAATAACACGACTAGTAAAAAGACATGTAGCCTCACAATAATACCAATGGTAGATGTTAAACAGCAAAAAAGAACATGTGAATTAAATGTTAAGGTGCTCCCAGGAGGTAAAGATCACTTCACACTAACGCATTTCCACTATAATTAAATTTTGAGAAGTGACAAAAAAATGTGCTGCAGGTATAGAGAATGTTAAGAGCAAACACTGGTTGGGAAAGAGTGAAACATATTCAGCGGAAAATGGTCCTCTAGTTTTAGAAACAATTTAGTGAGGTTGTAAGATCAGGGACTGTACAGTTGAATGTAGGCCAGACCACTGAGGACCTTCAAAACTCAGCGAAGAGGTTTGAGCATTATTTGGCAGGAAGAGTGGAGAAACTACAGAACTTACAGGCATTAAGTAACACGCTCCAAATTTGTTTTGAGATTTTTTTTTTAACAGAATATTTTGAATTTTCTTTTTTTTCTTTTTTTAAATTTTATTATTATTATATTTTAAATTTTAGGGTACATGTGCACAACATGTAGGTTACACATGTATACATGTGCCATATTGGTGTGCTGCACCCATTAACTCGTCATTTAGCATTAGGTATGTCTCCTAATGCTATCCCTCCCACCTCCCGCTACCCCACAACAGTCCCCAGTGTGTGATGTTCCCCTTCCTGTGTCCATGTGTTCTCATTGTTCAATTCCCACCTATGAGTGAGAACATGCGGTGTTCGGTTTTTTGTCCTTGCGATAGTTTGCTGAGAATGATGGTTTCCAGCTTCATCCATGTCCCTACAAAGGACATGAACTTATCATTTTTTTATGGCTGCACAGTTGTTTATTGCGGCACTGCTCACAATAGCAAAGATTTGGAACCAACCCAAATGTCGACCAACGATAGACTGGATTAAGAAAATGTGGCACAAATACACCATGGAATACTATGTTTTGAGAAATTTAACTTGGAAAGAGGTTTTAGAATAGATTGAAAGATAATTGGTTGTTATAGGGAAATATTTTATTTAAAAAATAATCCTTTAGCTATGTCTAATTACTTGTATTATGATTACTTTATTTATTTATTTATTTCTTGAGACAAAGTCTCACTCTGTTGCCCAGGCTGGAGTGCAATGGCACCATCTCAGCTCACTGAAACCTCCACCTCCTAGGCTCAAGCAATTGTCCTGCCTCAGCCACCCTAGTAGCTGGGATTACAGGCATATGCCACCATACCCGGCTAATTTTTGTAGAGACGAGGTTTTGCCATGTTGGCCGGGCTGGTCTTGAACTCCTGGTCTCAAGTGATCCGCCCGCCTTGGCTTCCCAGAGTGCTAGGGTTACAAGCGTGAGATACTGCACCCAGCCTCCTTGTATTATTTTTAATTGGCAATTCTTATTTGTAAGTCCCAGTTGAGCAAAATTAATTAAAGCAGTCCTAACTGAAAATGTTACGTCAGAGGACTTGTGCTGGCAAAAACACCTTTATAAAGACTCCTGAATCTTGCTTGGGGAATGAAGATAGCAAGAACTAATATATCCCATAGTTTTCATGATGAAGAAGCTATGTAGAGTTGAGTTTAGTGATGTGCTGATAGATGATTAACAACTGTGTGTAGGAATTGGGGTGACTGGTTTGTATCGTTTGGTGATTTTCCTGTAAATGCTCTCACGATAGGGGATTTCAAGCTCTCTTCATAGATTAGTGAACATGGAGTTGAGAGAGATGCGCACAGGTGGACTCATGAACTGGTGTGAACCAGCTCCAGTACACTATTAAGAGAATCCTCCCAAGTAGACCAAGGAGGCAATTTCTAGTTGTAAGTTAACTAAGAAGCCCCTTTTGAGGAATATGCAAGGTGTGTGTAAATAAAATAAAACACTCTAGGATACATGCCACTAGGGTCAAGCAATTAAAACCATTAATTCTAGGGTAGTAGTGGAAAAGTATATTATAATGATGCCCTCACTGGCCACTTAGTCTACCAGGTGGTTGTGCTATGGTCCACACCATACCTTTCAAAATGCACCAAGCTGCCCAGGCTATCGATAGAATGAAGTTAGAAAACACAACAAAGTGGGTCCATGAACGAAACCAAGGCTAAGTCATTCTGACTTTGAGTGTAGAGATAATAGTCCATGGGGTCTTGGTACAGTGATTTTGTAACTTATACTATGAGGTAAATCAAAACTTTTATTTACTTTAAAAGTAATACATTAAAGAAAGAAAAAAGAACAGAGAACAACCAACCAAACAAAAACAAAAAAACAAAATCCAGGAAGAATGTTAAGGAAACCTAAAATGCATGTTTAATAACAAATCGAATACACTCACTCCTTAGTATCTGACAGGGATTGGTTCTAGGATCCTCCAGAATATCAAAATTCACAGATGTTCAATCCTTTATGTAAAATGGCATAGTATTTGCAAATAACCTACACATATCCTCTCCTATACTTTAAATCATCTCTAGATTACTTATAATACCAAATACAATGTAAATACTATGTAAATCGCTGTTATACTCTACTTTTAATGTCTATTATTCTTTATTGTTTATTGTGGGGTTTTGTTTTTATTTTCTAAATATTTTTTCCAAATATATTCAGTCTTCGGTTGGTTGAATATATAAATGCAGAATCCACAAATACAGAGGCCCAACCATATTACACTTGCATTTCTCAGGAAAGTGAAGGGAGAACATGGAGTCAAATCAACACTTATTGAAGGTTGAATGCCTGATATAATTGCACCTGCTATGATAAATTTTGTTTAAAACTTCAGTATCAATGATAAAAATCTTTTGACTGCATCATGGTAAAAAAAAAAAAAACATTCTTAGTAATTGAAAAGTCTATGAAAGAGAAATACACATAAAACTGGTTGTGGTCCACACAAAATTAATATTTTAATCCAAAAAGCTCTGAAGTTCTAGAAAGCGGATTAGAAGCTGTGGCTGCAACAGTTGTATATTTGTACAAATCTGATACTGAACACACATAAAAATATACTTGCTCCAGCAGTTCACATTTTCTTTCTTTTTCTCTAATCATCAAACAGTTTTTAGAAATGTTTCAGGCACTGTAAAGTGGTTTGTAACTCAACTTCTATGTTGTATATTTTCAAAAACTTTGTAAAATAAATTATTTCTCTAAATTTGGTTTACATTTTGTTCAAAAGCAATTATAAAGCTTTAATCATTATTATAGAAATGGGCTGCCAGAAGTTCATATTTCAAAAATCTTAATTACAAATCTTAAAAACCAAGCTTAGAAACAGAATACTAAAATCAATGCCTATACATGCAAGACAGAATTAGACAAGAAAAATTCAAGTTGTGTGTATATTTTAATATTAAAATTCTATAATGGTATTTTGGAGTATCTTGAATTCTAGTTAGCATATTTTGATGAATCTTGTATTTTGAATTAAGTTCATATTGTTTAATAATAGAATAAAATGGCGAAGGCTAGAATTTCATAGAATCTAGTTTTGTTGAAAGATTTGATGTTTGCCAAAGTAAAGTACTTACTGAGGAAGGCTATGCTGAATGGAGTTAAAAATGTGAAAACACATTTATGTTTGTTTGCTTTTTTATAGAGACAGGGTCTCACTCTTTGGCTCAGGCTGAAATGCAGTTGTTCAATCATAACTCCTGGCCTCAAGTGATCCTCCTGCCTCAGCCTCCTGAGTAGCTAGGACTACATGTGTGCACCATCACACACGACTAACCTTTAAATTTGTTTTTCGGAAATACAGTGTCTTGCTCTGTTGCCCAGACTGGCCTCGAACTCTTGGCCTCAAGAAATCCTCCCATCCTGGTCTCCCAAAGCACTGAGATTACAGGTGTGAGCCACAATGCCAAGTCACATGTATGTTTCTGAACAAAAAACTAAAATTAAAAATATCCACTATGTAGTATAATTTAAATTTACCTCTTGTCAAAAACCTTTACTTGTCAAAAATATTACTATATTCAGAATCAGTTTAAAGTGTTCACATTCATTCACTGTAATTACAATTTGAAGATCATTGCTGGTAATTTTATTTTAAATGTTGCAAGAGTTATTATTCTGCTTTTAAGGTTTTTAAATATTAAGACAATAAAGATGTGATATTTTGCTTTATTTTAAATGAATATTTGCAATTTTTATATTTTTGGATGGCACTTTAAAAACACTTTTCTGAATAAAAATATTTTATATGTTGAGGAGCACAAAAAGTACATTAATCAATTAATACATATTTTAAAAATATATAATTTTATTATTGTTATTTACCAATTACTCCCATTAAGGTTCTATTTAGGTTACAATGAGTTTTAGTCTTCATCTGGTCTTTGCATTTTTAGCTATTTAACACAAAGATCATTCTAGAATACAAATAATAAATGTATCAAAACCCTGAAATGAGAGATAATGAGGATAGAAGAGAGAGAAGTGGAATGAAAGAAATGGAAAGATGAAAGTGGCTTACCAAATGTAGAATCTGTAGAACCTTGTGATTAATCATACACAATATAAAATTGTAAGAAAAACACACAAGGTGACTGTGCAGTATGGTCTTTAGTAGGAGTAAGATATTCAGGAAAAGGAACAATTTGATGTAAAATGGTAAATTTGAAGTGAAATGCATTATTAAGCAACTGGAAGTTTGGTCCTAGAGATGAAAAGAATAAAACATATCATTTAAAATATATATTGCCTGATACGAAAAAAAGTTAAAAAAATCCTAATTTCCAAGGACAAAAAGAGATCAAAGACAAAATTTCAAAAATAAAATATCACAGTTGCAGCCATGTGGAACAGGAAATGAAGATATAGGTGCTGAGGCCTAGGAGCTGGGCATCTGGCACACCCAGAGAAAAGAGAATTGGTCAACAATGCCTGTGACTCAAAACACTTTGCTATAAGAATGAAAAAAAGAGAGAGAGACAGATTAGGAGAATATTTTTTCTGTTGGCCTGGAAAATGGTGAGAGATTATACCATCTATCTGATGATTTTAATTTTAAAATAAATATGCACATACACTATGAGAAATAAAATTCACTGGTCTCAGCAACGAATGAGTAAAATATCAGAATTTTTATGGTACGAGAACTTCAACCTGAAAAATAAATGTTGAAACCAGGCCAGGAAAATAAAAGCCCTATAGTTCAGATAGAATAAACTCCAATTTTAGCTTTCCAAAGTCAAAGAATGGGTGGCAAATCCTTGAAGATGAACAAGCAATGATGGAGTTATTAATGATGTAACAGTCTGTACAACAAACCTCCATGATGCAAGTTTACTATGTAAAAAACCTGCATATGTACTCCTGAACTTAAAATAAAAGCTCAAAAATTAATAAAAAAGAAAAAAAAAAAGAAAATGAAGCACTGTGAAAGAGATTGAGGTTATTTGAAAAACAAAGGAATTAGCATTAAAGATACCTCAAATAAAATACTTTAAAATTATCTGAATAACATTGTACAATAAATATCTTTTAAAATCTATTTCACAGACAAGAAAAAAGCATAATATAAATAAAAGACACTATGAGATATAAAGTAGGAGACATTCAAAACCACCAATTTTAATTTTTAGATATGAAAAATAGATTCATTCATAGAAGAAAACTCAGTGGATCAGCTATGTGGCAGATTAAATACTGTTGAGGTGAGTATTAGAATACCGGACAATATACTTGGAGAAATCACTGACAATGTAGTACAGAGATATAGAGACATATTAATATAAATGAAAAGGCAAAACGACTGAGAGTATAATTTGAAAAGTTTCCAGTAAGAGTGTAGGAGAAAATAGAAGAAAAGTAATATTTTATCAATAACATGTAAGAATTTTTCAGAAATAAAGAAAAATATAAGTACTCAGATTAAAAAAGTAAATCATGTTCAAAGTAGAAAATAATATAAGCATACTGAAAGTAGACATCATGCTGAAACTGCTAAACATGAAAGACAAAGAGAAAATCACAAACTAACCTGACAGGAAAAAAAAAAAAAATAGGCTAACAAAAGTCATGATAATCACAAACAAAAGACTTTTGTAATGCCTAAAACAACGGAATGTATCAAACCTGAAACTCTAATCAGGGTGAAAAATAAAGATCGTCTTAGACAAAAGCTTAGAGAATTTGTCTTTATAGACTCTTGTAGAAAATTAGTACTTAAGAATATGTTTTAGTAAGAAGAAAAATATGCCCAAGAAGTGTTAAGCGGCAAGAGGAAATGAGAATGAAGAAACTCGCAAAGAGCAAACATCTGGCTAAAACTGAGCAAGTATTTTTCAATTTAAAAAAAATAACTATGACTAATATTTGAGAATGTGTTTGTTATTGTTGTCTAGTGTCTTAGTTTTCTCAAAATTGATCTGCCTAAAGCCATATGAAACTAATTGTAAAGCACTGACCAAGGGTATCAGAACTTCTCACAGTATGAAGTAAATGACAAGTTAAAAACGGTGTGAGTATTGAGAAACGAAGACGGGGGATTTTTGTAAGTAGGGGTTTACAGTTATTTTCTTCCTGCAAGACTGAAGAAAAAAACAAAATGAGTTATCCGTTTGTAGAACTTTAAAATAACTTTGATGATAAATAGACTATGAATTTTATTGCCATTAAATAAAAATTCCATTCCCAGGACATCTATTTATTTAGGACATAGAATTTGTAGCCATAAAAGCAAATCATATTAATAAAATTGATGCTGATTTTTATTTTATTCTAGCAATAAGTAATAATCATCCTTGGATACATGGCATATAGAAAGGGCAATAACATGTTCTCATTAAAATTTGTTTCTAATAAAATATTATTTTGTTTAATAATTTCATATTAAAATACGTACTATATTTACATTGCTTTAATCAACTGTGTTCTAATAATTGTAATAATAAATCAGTTCATAAGAAAAAATCATGTTTAGAGCACTAATGGTGACAAATATTAGTAATTTAAAAATTAAATTTGCATATATATGTAGATAAATAAAAGACTTTTAAACACAGAGGATAAATTCCATAAGGAACATGAAATTTACATGAAAGTTCAAATAAAAGAAACACTGAAAAATTCTGATTTAAAATTTTTTTAAAAACAATAGATCATGGTAAGCATTGAAACAGTATGGCATGTAGATTTTACTATATACATATAAAATAAGATTGCAGTCATTTTAGGTTGACACAAAGTGCACCTTTTGAAGTTATTTAAATTATATGAAAATATTTAGATGCTGACTTAATAATATTCTAAGTATGCATAATTTTTCACAATTTCATTGGCAGTATATTAGCAAAATATCTGGTGAGCAATATTCTAAAGCGTGTATATTTTTCTAGAAGATTATAGAGATATTGATTAACTTTAAATATTTTAAAAGTATTTTTAAAATAGTAAAATGTCCAACTTTGACACCACTCATGAGAAATCAGAGAAATAAAGTTTACACGTTCATTTAAGAAGGAAGAATAGGTTGGGGGGATATCCAATGAAAAAGCATAGCAAATAAAATAAACTTCTGACCTACTTCCAGATTCAGAAAACTAAATAAAACATAACATTAAGTGACTCCTATCTCAAACACAACTCCATAGTAAGTCTCTAGGGCTAAAGCAACCAACCCAATTACATATGTCCTTAATTAAGGCTCTAGGGGTGATCTGAAAATGGATTGATGTAATGCCAGGTTTGAGAATGGAAAAAGTAAGACTGGCCAAACAAAATGATCTTCTGTCATCATCAATGAAAACATTTATTCCCAAATAGGTTCAGTCTTCTGACAGTTAAAACTTCTTTAACTTGGATTTTTTTTTCCTTCTTATAAAAGTTGTATACAATTATTACACATATAAACAATAAGAACAAAGAAACAAAGAAAAAATTCATGCATAAAGATAAAGTCATTGTTAAGACTTTGGTCTATGTTGTATACCTATATACTAAGAGATTCCATATGTATCAAAAAAGATTAATGTTGTAACCCAGATTTTGTATTCCGGCCCATAAGGACTACTGATATTTTTCAGGCAGGGAGTACTATGTTCAGGGGCAGAAGTAGGAAGTGTGGCTAGAGGAGAAGCCATATTATTGGACAAGGCACCAGTTAGGAAATCAGCCCAGTATTGCATAGATGGGTATGAATTAATGCATTAAAAGGCAGAGAAAACATTATTATGTGATCGCTTGGATTTAGGGATATAGTGACGAACGGGAGTGTTTTAGTTTGTTCTAATATTACTATAAAGAAATACACAAGACTGGGTAATTTATAAAGAAAAGCAATTTAATTGGCTCACATTTCTTCAGGTTGTACAGGAAGCATAGCAGCTTCTGGGGAGGTTTCAGGAAGCTTTCAATGGTGGAGCTTTGCAACTGGTTGTTTTTAAGTTGTTTAAATGCTCCTGCCATGTCCTGCTCCTGCCACATCCTCTTTAGAAAATTCACTATTGCAAGGACAGTACAAACGGGGAGATTCACACCCATGCTCTCATAACCTCCCAACAAGCCCCATCTCCAGCAATGGGGATTACAATGTGACATGAGATTTGAGTATGGACACAGATCCAAACTATAGCAAGGGGAGATGGAGAAAGCTTAAATGATCCCCAGGTTTCTGTCTTTATTTAATCTCTTAAATATAATATTTCAGATAAATCACAAAAAAAATTATCAGTTATTTTAATTCAATAATAGCTACACTTTAATGCATAGCTTGTTCTCTTTACTCACACTTCATTCTATTTTCTCATATTAGAACCAATTTTCTACTCAAAGTTTACTGCTGAAATTTTTTCTCATATTGTAGCTAAACTAAAATAGGTGGCCTTCTAGCTTTTAGATGGTATGAAAAATTGATTCTCAAATTTAGTAAGATTCTCTAGATAGCATAGCTAGTTTTAATCATCACTGAACTGAGGAGCCCATGGTAATCAAAATGATATGAATGAGTTTAAGGCTGGTTATTGCCAAATTAAGACAAGAGTAGAAATACGGTATTTGCTGATGTGGAAAATTGGAATGCCCAGAGATAACAAAGCAGATTGTACTATATTCATTTCAGATATAGGGGTCCATGTACATACACCTTAGAACAGTCCTGCTTTGCACACTGGTACCAGGTCTATTTTTATTCATTTTATAACATAGGCAGATAAACTATGGTTACTTGAAATACATGAATAAATGAATACTATATCCATATAAAAACAGAACAATTATTTTTGGACTTAGCAAATTATAATAAAACTATATGTGATTTAATAATATGCATATTTATCATTAATTTTTCTTTGGCTAATACATGCATATTTAAGACTTTTAACTTGAAAATATCAAATTCTAAGTGAGATTTGCACATGAGCTGTAGTTTGTATTTGTTATCTTTATGTTCTAATAAAATATTAAAATAAAGTTAGAGTTTATATTTTTACCCTTTTAAATAGAAAACTGTTAGCTTACTTTTTATTACACTTTGTACTTAATTAATTTTTATAATTTTCAGGAGATAGAACTCAAACTGTACTGGTAATACCCTCAGTAATTATTCCAGGTAGTGATTTCTGTGGGAGCCATATGAAAGGCACGTATAAAGAAGTGCCTATGAATTATCCTTTAAAAAATATATCTATGTTTTCTGAAGTCCAATATGCTTGTCTGATACGTATAAAGGATAAAGTAGTGCGATATTGATATAAGAGTTAAGAAGAAATCACTTTGGCAGATAGTAAATATATGGGAGTCCTCAGTAAGGCTTTTCTCTTTAATGAAAACCAGCCCCAATCATTTTCTAACAAAAAGCAGCCTGTGAAGTCCAGCTGCAGACATAGACAAGCAGGCTGGGAGCTTACACAGATGAATGCCAGCAGGAACTAGGACTAGACATGTTCAAGATGGCGACTCCATCTTCCCTTGTCAACCACATGTACTATAAAGAGCAGACAAAATGGCGCTGATCAACTGGAAAGCCAATTTACATAATAAGATTACGGTGGGGCGACCAACCTTCCCCACTCACTATGTAAATGTCAAACTTGATCTAACCAACCTGTGAGCCCTATGTAAATCAGACACTGCCTCCTCAAACTAGCATAGAAATTTCGGTGCATTCACCATCAGCTGGTCCTTTCCACTGAGAGACCTTTTTCTCCATAGAGAAAGCTGTTTCTCTTTCTCCTCTCTTCTGCTTATTAAACCTCTGTTGCTCAATTCCTCCTGTGCCCATGTTCTAAATTTTCCTGACATGTGACAACAAACCCCAGGGTATACACCCTAGACAACCCAGCCGCTTCAATATCCTATATTTATAAACAAAAGCAAATAATCCCTGTGCTCAATAAATGCATTGACTTACAGATTCTAATGAACTCTGAACATTCTACAAAGCGCAGCATCTTGGGAGAGAATTTTCTATTGCCACCTTTCCATAAATTAGCTTTCAAATTTCTGACCATATTTTAAAATATATATTCATTTCTCAGCTTTGTGCTTTGATATGTGTACTTTAAAGAAGCACCTTTTCTTGAAAGTAACTGTTAATATATCCTTAAATGATGAGTTTTATTTAAAACATTTTATGTTCGCAGGAAAACAGATGTAGCATACAAATGACTACTGCTGTGTCCTGAACTACTTCATGCACTGCCCTACCGCCCCCCACCTTTTTTTTTTTTTTTTTTTTTTTTTGAGATTTAGTCTCACTCTGTTGCCCAGGCTGGAGTGCAGTGGCATGATCTCGGCTCACTGCAACCTCTGCCTCCCAGGTTTAAGTGATTCTCCTGCCTCAGCCTCCTGAGTAGCTGGGACTACAGGCATGCGCCACCACACCCAGCTAATTTTTGTGTTTCTAACAGAGACTGGGTTTCACCATGTTGGCCAGGATGGTCTCGATCTCCTGACCTCGTGATCCACCCGCCTCGGCCTTTCAAAGTGCTGGGATTACAGGCATGAGCCACCGTGCCCAGCCCACTTCCCTACCTTCTACAGCCTCAAAATGCATACTGACATCTAAGAAACACTTTTTAATGATGACACATGTACATCTTGAGACAAAGTTTGATTCCTGAGATCATGGTTGGTTTTACGAGCCTTTTCTAGCATTCTCATTCATGCATTCATTCAGCAAATTCATGTTAACTGCTGATCCTGTCATAGACAGTAATCCGTGGGTGAAATGAAATGACAAAGGCCTAAACTACCACTGTGGTAGTAAAGATAAAGTGGAAATAATTGGAAATAAAGAAAGAATCAGGATTGTATTTTCAGCGATTGGGTGGAAGTACTAATTGACAAAAAATCATGAAGGTAAAAAAAGGCTAAATAATGAACATATTGTGTCTAAGTTGCCTGTTGGAAAATGTTGGAACCATTCATGCTTCCAAGCATTATGTCAGTGCATGGGTGATATTGTGCAGATATCAAGAACACAATTGTCTGACTACTTGGATTTGTATCTAGATTTCCATTACTTACTAGATGGTGACATGGACACGTTCCTTAATCACTTGGGAACTTTGTTTCCTAAATTGTAAAACTGATGTAGTGATAATATCTACCTCAGACAATTCTGAAGATTAAATCAAATTAAATAGGCAAAGTACTTAAAACTCTAAGGAACATAGAATGTGCTCAGTAAATACTCTATAATTATTCTGTTCTTAGCTTTTCTCTCATCATCTAGATAATATCTCTGACTTCTTTTATGTACTGTAAAATGTTTCCAATACCACTTGGTGATTCAAAAATCTCTATATTAAACATAGCCTTTGCCCTTGAAAATTCAGATGCATGTATTCAACTAGAAGTTACTATTGTGGTAATAAAGAAATAAAAGAGTAGGATTCTGAAACAGAATAGAATTCAGTGTTTATCAGTCAAGTTAGCAGAAGAAAAAACATGACATAGGAAGTATAGCATATTTAACAGGAAGGATTTAAAAAGAGACTATTGCAAAGACAGGACACTTTACAAAGGGTGGGTTCCCATATAATCAGCAATGGCAGAATACACTTGGGCTAATAACAACAGAGTCCAAAGGTCCAAATGGACTAGGTGAAGGTACGGCTACTCTAAACAAGAAAGAAAGATAGAAGGTGTAATATTGAAAGGAGTATTGATTTTCAATTATAAGATACAGCCAGTCAGAAGTGACCCCACAAAAAGTTACCCTGGGAATCAATACTCTAAAATACCCTGACCCATTTTCCAAACTTCCTCACATAACCTAGGTGGGCTACTTGTTGAATGAACATAACCAGACATCAGATGGCAAAGGAGCTCAGAGCAAGTATCAGGATATAAAATCGATCTGCAGGGGCAACCCAAAGTTATCTGGCACATAATGCCTAAATGAGTGGCTTCCAATACATGTGGAATCACTACTTAAAGTTACTGCAAAAAGTATCTGTTCGCTTCTCAATAAATTCTGATGCCTTTGTAGCAGAGGACAATTTCAGTTTCAAGAGGATCAAACTAAGAGTTAAAGTGAAGTCATCATTTACATCTAATGTATCCTCACTGTATGTGCGTTTATGATCGGAGAGAGGGTACGTACAAAAGAAATCATTTTTAAATGTAAGACCAAGGTATGGGTACCATTTGCTCCCTCTTCTTGGCAATACTTAGCTCTGCCATCTCATGTTCTCATACCTTGTCAGTATTCTAATACTCTTTAGATATGACTGGGAAGATTATTTAAGTCCTCAGTAAATAACTCTTATATCTGCTTCTTATTTTAGTTCCTACGCAATATACTTTCAATTTAGTGTAAGGTAAGGACTTAAAATGAACACATTTTCTGAGCCAAAAAATTGTATATTCTTGTAATATTTCCCTTTATTGTTCTAACTTCTTATTGCCACTAATATTTGATAAGCCCTGAGGAAAAGGGAGTGATAACTGAACAATGGTTCAGATGAAATTCCTGATACCTAATCCTCATGGAAAATGGTGAGAATTTGATCACTTAGGCGTGAAGGATTTTGTGATGTTATTCAGCTCATTCCCTATGCCTCCTAATACTGTCACATTTATTCATTCACCCAATATTAAGTACATAAACATGTAAACTTTCTCTTTACTAGGGTCTCGGTGCTAGGGATATAATGGACAAGATAGACAAGGCCACCCATTCTACCACATATTGCATCTAGACAACCTGGTAGCTAATATAACGACTGATTATTAAATTCTCCCTTCAAATTCTTCAGGGGTTTTCTGAGAGCAATTTTCATGGTCTACTGAGGGCTTATTTTTGAGCTCAGATGAATAGAGTTACGAGATAGTGAGCTTTCAGTTGACGCTAGTCATGCTGTCATTTCTCCTATGCCCAGGTTAAGTCACAACCCTAAGGCACATCTCTAAGAGATCAAATAGCATTATTGTGCATTTAAAAAAAGACAGAGGACCAGATTGGCTTATTGCAGGGAGCTTAGGTTTTAACCAATGGAAATGTGCTGAATTGCTTTAAGAATAAATTACACTTCTCCTTTATAAGATTGTTGTTGAAAATAAATGTTCCTATAGCAAAGTTATTTGAACTTTACAGGACTCAAATTTATCATCTTAAAATGAGTAATTTTACCTATTCCTCTCAACGTTACGTAAATTTTAATACTGGTACTTACCACTATTCTTTGTGCTTTGCTGTTTTCTATAATTGGAGGTACAAAATTCTGACTGACTTTTCACTTCACCTTGAGAGATGTTTATTCCTTATTCTCTATTGAGATACATTAGAAATATGAGATGAGGCTATTTATAATTTTTGTAAATTTGATAAAAGTTAAGGATGTTCGAATATAGTATTTCTGATGTAAAAACAAGCACGAAAATTAAATTTAGGCAATTTATAATTAGGTCTCCTTCCCAATTAAAATAAATATTAATGCTTCTTATAGGTATTCACCATTTAATAATTATTAAAGTAATTGCTTTAATGGCATAATTTCTTTTTTTCTATTTTGTGCATTACCATAAAATAATTATAAATCAAGCTGTGATAGTGTCCAAGTTACATTTTATGTGAAAGACGGAAGTAACTCCCTGTTCCACTGTACACAAAAGCCAGCAATATTATTGCATATAATACATGGTAAAGCAGTATTTTTTATTCTCACAAATAAAGCATACCATTACTTTCTCCAAGTCAGGCAGCGATGAGCCTAATCTCATCTTTACAAAACACATTCACAGTTTCTCCTGATTCAATATGAAGGGCAGGTGAATGTATCTGAGATCTGAGGAAATCTTCCCAGTATTGCAAAAGCATACTAGAGTTCCCCTTCATCATCTGTCACCAGCATCTTCATCCCCTTTTAGGGTACATCGAAGGTCTTCCACAAGGTGCTTCGTCTAAGATTGTCAACCCTGAGCAGAGCCATGGACACTTAAGTTTCCTTCTTTCATCAAGACAACCTTGCCCTGCATTTCACTCCCCTGAGCCCTGCTCTCTGATTACAGGCAGCTAGACATTCTGATGAATTCCCTTGAACGATGGAATTTTCTTCCTCTCAGAATGCTATTTAAGTTAATGGTTCAGACCATCAACTCAAAGGACCCTTTTTGTGACCCTCAATTGACATCAACTCAAGGGACCCTTTTTGTGACCCTCAATTGACATCAAGTAGTCTAGATTTTCCCTGTCTGGAAAAACAAAAGAGTGGAAGGGAAGGACAGGAGCACTGTGTGCCTGATAGACCTGAATTCAGCTAATGACACCGCTGTTTCTCTTAGCTTTTGGAAGGTGGGAGAGTTATTCGAGCATTCTAAACTTAGTTTTCTCAGCTTTGAAATGAGAACAGTGTGACCTATTCCTTAGCAACATTGCTTGAGTTACATAAAGCTATACACCTTGAAGGTGTCCTGATTACTGATAGTTCTCACTGTTCAAGCATCCTTTCCTCCTAGATGTGAACTCCGTAAGGTTCTTTTCACTTTTGTCACTAAAGGCCTATCTTATAACCATTTATTCATAACGTGGCCAGCCTTTGGCCAACAATTATAGAACTTTATTTTGTTGAATAAAGAAGCTGAGGCAAAATTAATATAGAGTGTTTATTTGGGGTAAGGTTGAGGACAGCTGTCCTGGACACACTTCCAAGTTGCCTTGGGGAGTGCTCTGGGAGAACAAAGAAAAGGCTCAAGATTTTTATTTTTTTTAAAAACTGAGGAATCAGAAAAGGAAGTAATTACAAAGGGTGCTTGTCAGAAATTCTTCCTGATTTACAGAAATAACATTATTTATTGGATATGCATTGTTAAACTACAGAGTCTGAGTTATAATGTCCAGCATTGATGTTTTATGGCTACCTGGTGTTGGTTAGACTAGAGCTCACATAGCAGGTGGCTTTGAGGTGATTATTTAGCTCAAGGTGGGAGTGAGACATGGCTGCTGTTTCATTCCAGTGTTTCTTTGGGCCTGATAATTTAAAGGGGCTTGCATTCTTCCGTTACAATTTTCTTTTCTTTTTAAATTTCAACAAGTGTAAATGTTCCTTGAAATAACCTTACTTGAAATTATTAACAATTTTTCCTAAAGGGAACATTTCTTTTTCCAAGCTACAGATCTCTCAGGCCTGTTAAGTTCAGAAACCAAACGTGATCATTATTATTTTGAGAGCTGAAAAGAAAGTGGCACTCCCATTGTTTTTGCTGAGCAGAAAGGCATTTCAGAATTTAAAATATTGTTGTGTATCTTTCATCAGATTATTTTCCTGTTAAGTGTCAGGGTTCCTTGGAGTCCTTTTTATTGAGATTTTTGTATAATACTTATTGTTTGTCACAAAATAATCTGTGACCATAATTGCTTAGATGACTAGTAAATCCAATTTCACTTCTTACCAGTTTTCATCTTACCAGTAGAATCTGACAGGCCTGGGCATCCACTTGCTCTTCAATAGTGCCTGCCATGGATTTATTCAGTGATGCTCAATCACACTTGACAGGCTGGACTTCTGTTTTTTAAAATGTCTTTCTCATGGTTTGATTTATTTATGCCTGGATATATAGGTTCTTTCTCGCTTCACAGATGATTTGTTAAAGAAAAAAAAGTCCCAGTCTTTCTTCCTGGAAATTAGAATCATTTTCCTTTAGACAGACATTCTGCAGTATGTTTTTTTCAGTATTTTGCAAATGCAAAATTGTGTGCCCTTTATTCAACTGTATAATGAATATTTGAAAAGAAGATAATATTTTATTCATTGCTTTAAACTTCTTCAGAACATATTATGCTTTGAGCCTAATCAATATTTTTCAATAACTGTTGATGTATTTTACATTTTCTAAAATAAGCCTTTTCAAAGGACTAACAAATAGCTGATAATATTAATCTACAATTTGATTTTTAACATCCTTATTGAGCTACACTTTATATGCTATAAAGTTTACTTCTTTAAAGTGTAATTTAATGTTTAGTATACTTCCAAAATTGGGCAATTATCAACATCTAATTTTAGAAACTCCAACCTGGTTACTACTCACAGAAAGCCTGTGCTCATTAGCTATCAGTTCCCATTTTCCTCCCCCGTTAAGCCCCTGTTCCCTTCCCCCAATAAGCCCTAGGCAATTGCTAATCTACTTTATGTCTCTATATATTTGCTTATTCTGAACATTTTGCATAAATAGTATCAAACAACAGGTGATCTTTTGTGAGTAGCTTCTTTCACTTGGCTATTGTTTCCAGTGTTCATCCATCTAATAGCGTGTATTGATACTTCATTTATTTTTACTATAAAATAATATTTCATTATTTATATAGCAGATTTTATTTATCCATTCATCAGTTGACATTTTAGTTGTTACCACTTTCTGGCTATTAAGAATAATACACATACAAGCATGCATGAACAAGATTTTGTGTGGATATATGTTTGCATTTCTCTTTGGTAGATAGAACATTTACCACTTTGTAGCTATTCACAAAGTTGCTACCACTTTTGACTATAAAGAATAATACATATATAAGCATGTATGTATAATTTTTTGTGTGGATAGATGTTTGCATTTCTCTTTGGTATATGCCTAAGGGTCAAATTGTTGGGTCCCACTGGGCATTCTATTCCAAGCAAGATTATCTATAATGAGATAGAAACATCTTTTAAATTATCAGGTTACTTTGCTTTATAAAAATATATTATGTGACCAGACCACATACTGAATACATGAACTTTGCATGTCTTAAATATTTTATGATCGTACTATCTTGTGCAATTTTTCTAAAGGCCTATTCTTGAGTCTGTGTTTTTAAAAGTGCAAAGCTAAGACTTTGTAATCAATAGTATTTTTTTTTACAGAAAAGTAAAATATATGCACACATATAAAAAAGAATTGAATCCATAGAGTACTCAACAATTAATTAGCATGGCAGCACAAGTTAATTTGCTTGTGGATCTCCAAAGAGTTTAAATTAATTTATGTAACTGAATAAGTGTTGTGGTTGTGTTTCTGTCTTGTTTTGTTAAATATGTTTCAAACAATGAAAATCAAACCATAATATGTGAAGTCCTAACAATCAGTGGAACATGGTTTGGAAACCAACAATTCACTATAAGCAGGCCAGTTTCACCCTGTACGCTGACCTCCCTGTGTAATTAATGGAAGGAAAGCAGTCCACACTGTGCAAGATACAGCTCCATTTACACTTGTAACAGGCAACTTTGCTAGATTAATCTTGTCCAAACTAATGCAACAGCATGTACAATTTCTTACCTTTCTTTGCATTATGCATATCAATAAAACACATAGGTCATAATCAATACTTAACTCAAATATACATACATATATATAGTTTTATTTTTATTTATTTTTTTTTCTTTAATTATTATACTTTAAGTTTTAGGGTACATGTGCACATTGTGCAGGTTAGTTACATATGTATACATGTGCCATGCTGGTGTGCTACACCCAATAACTCGTCATCTAGCATTAGGTATATCTCCTAAAGCTATCCCTCCCCCCTCCCCCCACCCCACAACAGTCCTCAGAGTGTGATGTTCCCCTTCCTGTGTCCACGTGATCTCATTGTTCAGTTCCCACCTGTGAGTGAGAATATGCGGTGTTTGGTTTTTTGTTCTTGCGATAGTTTACTGAGAATGATGATTTCCAATTTCATCCATGTCCCTACAAAGGACATGAACTCATCATTGTTTATGGCTGCATAGTATTCCATGGTGTATATGTGCCACATTTTCTTGATCCAGTCTATCATTGTTGGACATTTGGGTTGGTTCCAAGTCTTTGCTAATGTGAATAATGCCGCAATAAACATACGTGTGCATGTATCTTCATAGCAGCATGATTTATAGTCCTTTGGGTATATACCCAGTAATGGGATGGCTGGGTCAAATGGTATTTCTAGTTCTAGATCCCTGAGGAATCGCCACACTGACTTCCACAATGGTTGAACTAGTTTACAGTCCCACCAACAGTGTAAAAGTGTTCCTATTTCTCCACAACCTCTCCAGCACCTGTTGTTTCCTGACTTTTTAATGATTGCCATTCTAACTGGTGTGGGATGGTATCTCATTGTGGTTTTGATTTGCATTTCTCTGATGGCCATGGATGATGAGCATTTTCTCATGTGTTTTTAGGCTGCATAAATGTCTTCTTTTGAGAAGTGTCTGTTCATGTCCTTTGCCCACTTTTTGATGGGGTTGTTTGTTTTCTTCTTGTAAATTTGACTGAGTTCATTGTAGATTCTGGATATTAGCCCTTTGTCAGATGAGTAGGTTGCGAAAATTTTCTCCCATTTTGTAGGTTGCCTGTTCACTCTGATGGTAGTTTCTTTTGCTGTGCAGAAGCTCTTGAGTTTAATTAGATCCCATTTGTCAATTTTGTCTTTTGTTGCCATTGCTTTTGGTGTTTTAGACATGAAGTCCTTGCCCATGCCTATGTCCTGAATGGTAATGCCTAGGTTTTCTTCTAGGATTTTTATGGTTTTAGGTCGAACGTTTAAGTCTTTAATCCATCTTGAATTGATTTTTGTATAAGGTGTAAGGAAGGGATCCAGTTTCAGCTTTCTACCTATGGCTAGCCAGTTTTCCCAGCACCATTTATTAAATAGGGAATCCTTTCCCCATTGCTTGCTTTTCTCAGGTTTGTCAAAGATCAGATAGTTGTAGATATGTGGCGTTATTTCTGAGGGCTCTGTTCTGTTCCATTGATCTATATCTCTGTTTTGGTACCAGTACCACGGTGTTTTGGTTACTATAGCCTTGTAGTATAGTTTGAAGTCAGGTAGTGTGATGCCTCCAGCTTTGTTCTTTTGGCTTAGGATTGACTTGGCCATGCGGGCTCTTTTTTGGCTCCATATGAACTTTAAAGTAGTTTTTTCCAATTCTGTGAAGAAAGGCATTGGTAGCTTGATGGGGATGGCATTGAATCTGTAAATCACCTTGGGCAGTATGGCCATTTTCACGATATTGATTCTTCCTACCCATGAGCATGGAATGTTCTTCCATTTGTTTTTATCCTCTTTTATTTCCTTGAGCAGTGGTTTGTAGTTCTCCTTGAAGAGGTCCTTCACATCCCTTGTAAGTTGGATTCCTAGGTATTTTCTTCTCTTTGAAGCAATTGTGAATGGGAGTTCACTCATGATTTGGCTCTCTGTTTGTCTGCTGTTGGTGTATAAGAATGCTTGTGATTTTTGTACATTGATTTTGTATCCCGAGACTTTGCTGAAGTTGCTTATCAGCTTAAGGAGATTTTGGGCTGAGACGATGGGGTTTTCTAGATATACAATCATGTCGTCTGCAAACAGGGACAATTTGACTTCCTCTTTTCCTAATTGAATACCCTTTATTTCCTTCTCCTGCCTCACTGCCTGGGCCAGAACTTCCAACACTATCTTGAATAGGAGTGGTGAGAGAGGGCATCCCTGTCTTGTGCCACTTTTCAAAGGGAATGCTTCCAGTTTTTGCCCATTCAGTATGATATTGGCTGTGGGTTTGTCATAGATAGCTCTTATTATTTTGAAATACATCCCATCAATACCTAATTTATTGAGAGTTTTTAGCATGAAGGTTGTTGAATTTTGTCAAAGGCCTTTTCTGCATCTATTGAGATAACCATGTGGTTTTTGTCTTTGGCTCTGTTTATATGCTGGATTACATTTATTGATTCGCGTATATTGAACCAGCCTTGCATCAATCACAATTTATTTATTTTAGTGTTCATCAAAAAACTTATTTTCATAAGTCAGTATTTCTCACAGTATTATACTTCTGGGGGTTCAAAAGAACAATTTCTGTCTTTTTTCTTCCATAGGTCTGTGCCTTACTGAAGTTTAAGAAAAAATATACATGCAATATTTATATAAAATGTATGTTTAAATGCTGTGGTAACTGGAGATAAAACTCTGTTAAGGCTGTTAACTATATATTTTTTATTTCTCAGAGCTTTAAAATAATCAGTCATAGACAAGAAAGTCTAGGTTTCAACTGGGAGAAATATTTTTATGGTAATTTGAAGGAAGAGAAATGAGTATTTCAGCTCCTAAATAGAAACCATGTATAAAGCCCAGAGAAACAAGGAAAGAGAGAAGATGGAGGAGGGGGGCCAACAAATCATGTATCTTACCTGAGTATCACGAAAAGAGAGAATAGACAATATGAGATTAGAGAAGGAGGGTGCCAGAGGTGGAGATGCATTATCTTCAGCTCCATTTTAAATTTTACTCTCATAACAATCACATACTTAGACTAAGCTGTAATTGTATCTATATACATTTGTCAAGTGCAATTTGTTTTTTTAATCACATAAAACTTTGCCAGTGTTCATTTTAAAACTGTGCTAGAAAATCTTTAAGGATTATATTATGCCAAATAAATTACTTAATAAATGCCATGAATGTCCATTTTTATGAAACACAATTCTTAGTGTAAATGCAACATGTCCTCTTTAAAGGAGACTGTATTCAGAGTGTTTGGGAATTTTTGAGCATTCAAAGAGGCAGGGGAGAAAGTAAGAGAATTCAGATAATCTTTTCACACTTTGAAATAATACTAAATGATTAAAATGACATTTAGAATTTTAAATTAGGTGAGGAAATTCAGACTTCAGGTTGTCATTTCAAATTAGATGTTGCGTTATTTTTCTTTAACAATCAGAAAGAATCTACCTGATTGGGTGACACTGGGAATTAATAAGGGCATTTGACTTTAATTATAAAAGGAAGTCAAGATTCTTAGACCAGTTCTTTCTCCAAAGCTGCAGTTATGTCTCTGTAACTGACATACAGGCCTGTCATGTTCCTGTTTGCTCTCAGATCTGTGTCTGGTTTTTGCTCTGCTCTTATCTCAAGGTGCTGAAACCTGCAAATTACATCGTCTAGGCTTCAAAGCCCACGCGTTTCCAGTTAGTTCTGGCCAATAGGAGGCACTCAAGTGAGACTGGGAGCAAGAGGAGTGGGAGAGTCGATCTATTTGCTGTCTCTTCTTTCGTTCCCTGTGGCTATTGCCGGCAGTGGCTTTAAATCCTCCGGGTTGCAGATCTGGCCAGGTGGCCTGTCCTTCGTGATTGCACATCCAGCCTGGTGAGGCAGCTGCCAAACCCTCAGCTGTCGTCTTCCTCCATGTGGCCCTTGCTCCTGAACTGTGACCCTGCTAACTACTTTCCTTCTCCCCAGACTCAAATTTGGTAAGGGCTGACTGTGAGTGTTCACTTTGAATTGCCTTATCACCTTCTAACATTACTCCTCTGTAATGAGTTCCCCGTGTTAAATCACCTCCGTTGAAATATATGACATAGATTCATTTTTATGACTGGAAGGCAACAAATAAAATGTAGTTTAATGGGATAGTTAAGCTTTATATGTTATTTTGCTATTTAAAGCTATGATGGTAACAATGATTACTTTATGTATCTTCCCCACTATTATTTTTTCTCACACACATTCCATTAAGATTTAAACTAAAATGCACTCAGAAAATATAATGACATCAGATTATTTTTTTACTTCTGAACTGTTTTTATTATACCTCAATGTGCACATCATCGGTTATTTAAATAATATACTCTCTTTCACAGGATATCAAATATGGTAGGCAGACCAATTTGCATTTAATATAGCCTTATGCCA